>NW_021159990.1:0-235734 GCF_000001405.40 Homo sapiens
TCAACTGCTTTAGTGGAGATAGGGCTGTTCAGGTTATTAGTTCTTCTTGAGTGAGTCTTGGTAGTTTGTGGATTTCCAATTGGTCCAGTCATCTGAGGTGCTGAATCCGTGCATGGAATGCTCCTTTGTTATCCTTACAATGCCTGTGGGCTCTGCAGTGACAGCCCCTCTGTTATGCCTGTAATGGGTCACTTGTATCTTCTCTTTCTTTATCAGTTTTACCTATTTTTATTGACTTTTCCAAAGAACCAGCTTCTGATTCCATTGATTTTATCTAATATTTTTGTTTCTATTTTTCTTAACATTTTATTTACTTATGTTTTTTGAGATGGAGTCTCGCTCTGTCACCCAGGCTGGAGTGTAGTGGCGCCATCTCAGCTCACTGCCTCTGTCTCCCAGGTTCAAGTGATTCTTCTGCCTCAGACCCCCAAGTAGCTGGGATTACAGGCATGTGTCACCACACCTGGCTAACTTTTGTATTTTTAATAGAGACGGGGTTTCTGCATGTTGGCCAGGCTAATCTCAAACTCCTGACCTCAAGTGATCCGCCCACCTCAGCCTCCCAAAGTGCTGGGATTACAGGCATGAGCCACTGCACCTGGTTATCTGTTTTTAATTCCACTGACGTCGGTTTTATCTTTACTATTCTTTCCTCTGATTGCTTTGGTTTTCTTTGGCTCTTGTTTGTCTAGTTACCTAAATTAGAAGCTTAGGTTGTCAATGAGATGTTCTAATATAAGCATTTATTGCTAAAAATTTCCCTCTAAGAGCTGCTCTAACTGCATACCAAAAATTTTGATATTTTAAATTTTCATTTGTATTTAGTCCAGAATGCTTTCTAATTTCTTCTAGGAGAACTTCTTTGATCCATGGATTACTTACAAGTGTAATTGTTAATTTCTCAGCCTCTGGGGTTTTAAAGGTATCTTTAGGTCATTCATTTCCAGTTTAAACCCACTATTGTCAAAGAACATGCTTTACATAATTTTAATTCTTCTAAATCTGTTAGTTTTGTTTTATAAGCCAGGATATGGTTTCTCTGGAGAGTTCCATGTGTACATGACAAGAACGTGTGTCCTGCTGCTGTTGGATGGCAGATGCTGTAAATGTCATTTAGAAATTGTTGGCTGATGGTATTGTTCTCCTGTATCCTCCCTCCTTATCTACCTAATTGTTCTGTTGATACTGAGAGGACTGTTGAGGCCCCAGCTAGAGTTGTGAGTCTGTTACTTTTCCTTTCAGTTAAAGGTCTGTTATGAGGGCAATACACGTTTAGGTTTTTATGTCTTCTTGGTGAATTGACCCTTTTGTCATTATGTAATGTCTGTTTACCCCTAATAATTTTTCTCGTTCTGAAGTTGACTTTATCAGATATTGTAGCCATTCCAGCTTTCTTTTGATGAACATTTCCCTGGTATATCTCTTTTATCCTTTAACTTTTAATTTACAAATATAGTCATATATAAAGTGGGTTCTGTGTAGCCAGCATGTAGTGGGATGGATATTTTTTAAAATTCACTGTAACAATCTCTGCCTTTTAATTGGGTATGTTTAGATTACTGACATTTAACATAACTGTGTTTGAGTTTAATTTTGTGGGTACAGAGTATGTGTGTATATTTATGGGGTACATGAGATACTTTGATACAGGCGCGCAAAGCATAAAAATCACATCATGGAGAATGGGACATCCGTCCCCTCAAGCATTTATCCTTTGTGTTACAAACAATCCGATTATACTCTTTTAGGTATCTTTATTTTATTTATTTATTTTTTTTGAGGCAGAGTCTCACTGTCGCCCGGGCTGGAGTGCAGTGGCGCGATCTCGGCTCACTGCAAGCTCCACCCCCTGGGGTTCATGCCATTCTCCTGCCTCAGCCTCCCGAGTAGCTGGGACTACAGGCGCCCGCCACCACGCCCGGCTAATTTTTTGTATTTTTAGTAGAGACGGGGCTTCACCGTGTTAGCCAGGATGGTCACGATCTCCTGACCTCGTGATCCACCCGCCTCGGCCTCCCAAAGTGCTGGGATTACAGGCGTGAGCCACCGCGCCCGGCCTCTTTTAGGTATCTTTAAATGTACAATTAAATTGTTATTAACTACAGTGACCCTGTTGTGCTATCAAATACTAGGTCTTATTCATTCTTTCTACCTGCCCTTTGTGCCCATTAGCCGTACTCCCACCCCCACCACCCTTCCAGCCTCTGGGAACCATCCTTCTACTCTCTCTGAGTCCAGTTGTTTTCATTGTTATCTCCCACAAATAAGTAAGAACAAGCAAAATTTGTCTTTCTATGCCTGGCTTATTTCACTTAACACAATGACCTCCAGTTCCATCCATGTTGTTGCAAATGACAGGATCTCATTCTTTTTTTTTTTTTTTTTTTTGAGATGGAGTCTCTCTTTGTCACCGAGGCTGGAGTGTAATGGTACAATCTCAGCTCGCTGCAACCTCTGCCACCTGGTTCAAGCCATTTTCCTGTCTCAGCCTCCTGAGTAGCTGGGACTACAGGCGTGCACCACCACGCCTTGCTAATTTTTGTATTTTTAGTAGAGACGGGGTTTCACTATGTTGGCCAGGCTGGTCTCAAACTCCTGACCTCAGGTGATCTCCCCACCTCAGCTGCCCAAATTGCAGGGATTACAGGCATGAGCCATGGCGCCTGGCCATGGATCTCATTCTTTTTTATGACAGAATTGTGTGTAAGTACCACGTTTTCTTTATCCATTCATCTCCTGGTGGACACTTAGGATGCTTCCAAATCTTTCTGTTGTGAACAGTACTGGAACAAGCATGGAAGGGCAGGTATCTCTTCGGTAACCTGATTTCCTTTCTTTGGGGTGTGTCCTCAGCAGTGGGATTGGTGAGTCGTATGGTAGCTCTCTTTTTAGTTTTTTGAGGAACCTCCAAACTGTTCTCCATAGTGGTTGCACTAATTTACATTTCCACCAGCGGTGTGTGAGGGTTGCCTTTCCTCCACATCCTCACCAGCATTTGTTACCCTCCAGCTTTTCGATAAAAGCCATTTCCACTGGGGTGAGATGATATCTCATAGTTTTGATTTGCATTTCTCTGATGGTCAGTGATGTCAAGTACCTTTTCACATGCCTGTTTGCCATTTGTATGTCTTCTTTTGAGAAATGTCTACTCAGAACTTTTGCCCATTTAAAAATCAGACTATTAGAATTTTTTTTCCTATACTGTTGAGTTCCTTATCTATTCTGCTTACTAATCCCTTGTCAGATGGGTAGTTTGCAAATATTTTCCCCATTCTGCAGGTAGTCTCTTCATTGTTTTGATTATTTCCTTTGCTGGGCAGACGCTTTTTAACTTGACGTGATCTCGTTTGTCCATTTTTGCTTTGGTTGCCTGTGTTTGTGGGGTATTCTTCAAGAAACATTTGCCCAGACCAATGTCCTGGAGAGTTTTCTTAATGTTTTCTTATAGCTGTTTCATAATTTGAGGTCTTAGATTTAAGTCTTTAAATCTACTTTGATTTGATTTTTGTATATGACAAGAGGTAGGGGTTGAGCTTCATTCTTTTGCTTATGCATATCCAGTTTTCCCAGAAACGTGTATTGAAAAGACTGTCTTTTCCTGAATGTAGGTTCTTGGCACTTTTGTTGAAAATGAGCTAATTGTAGGTATATGACTTGTTCCTGGATTCTCTGCTTGGTTTCATTGATCTATGTGTTAATGTGATTCCTACAATTGTTCTTTGTTTGTTTGTTGTTTTTTTCTCAGGATAGCTTTAGCTATTTGGGGTCTTTTTTGGTTCCATATACATTTCAGGATTTTTTTTCTATTCCTGTGATGTGTTATTGGTATTTTAATAGGGGGATTGCATTGAATCTGTAGATCACTTTGGGTAGTATGGACATTTTAACGATATTGATTTTTCCAATTCCTGAACATGGAATATCTTTTTGTGCCCTCTTCAACTTCTTTTTCTTTTCTTTCATTTTTTCTTTTTTCTTTTTTTTTTTTTTTTTCAGACAAATTATCTCTCTGTCGCCCAGGCAGGAGTGCAGTGGTGCAATATCGGCTCACTGCAAGCTCCACCTCCCGGGTTCAAGCAACTCTTCCTGCCTCCGCCTCCCAAGTGTCTGGGATTACAAGCCCGCCAAAACGCCCGGCTAATTTTTGTATTTTTAGTAGAGACGGGGTTTCGCCATGTTGGCCAGGCTGGTCTTGAACACCTGACCTCAGGTATCTGCCCACTTTGGCCTCCCAAAGTGCTGCGATTACAGCTGTGGGCCATCGCCCCGGCCTCCTCTTCAATTCCTATCATCAGTTACAGGTGTGAGCCCCCGCCCCAGCCTCCTCTTCAATTCCTATCATCAGTTACAGGGGTGAGCCACCGCCCCGGCCTCCTCTTCAATTCCTATCATCAGTTACAGGGGTGAGCCCCCGCCCCGGCCTCCTCTTCAATTCCTATCATCAGTTACAGGGGTGAACCACCGTCCCGGCCTCCTCTTCAATTCCTATCATCAGTTACAGGAGTGAAACACTACCCCGACCTCCTCTTCAATTCCTATCATCAGTTACAGGTGTGAGCCCCCGCCCCGGCCTCCTCTTCAATTCCTATCATCAGTTACAGGGGTGAGCCACCGCCCCGGCCTCCTCTTCAATTCCTATCATCAGTTACAGGGGTGAGCCCCCGCCCCGGCCTCCTCTTCAATTCCTATCATCAGTTACAGGAGTGAACCACCGCCCCGGCCTCCTCTTCAATTCCTATCATCAGTTACAGGGGTGAGCCCCTGCCCCGGCCTCTTCTTCAATTCCTATCATCAGTTACAGGGGTGAGCCCCCGCCCCGGCCTCCTCTTCAATTCCTATCATCGGTTACAGGGGTGAGCCACCGCCCCGGCCTCCTCTTCAATTCCTATCATCGGTTACAGGGGTGAGCCACCGCCCCGGCCTCCTCTTCAATTCCTATCATCGGTTACAGGGGTGAGCCCCCGCCCCGGCCTCCTCTTCAATTCCTATCATCAGTTACAGGGGTGAGCCCCCGCCCCGGCCTCCTCTTCAATTCCTATCATCAGTTACAGGGGTGAGCCACCGCCCCGGTCTCCTCTTCAATTCCTATCATCAGTTACAGGAGTGAGCCACCGCCCCGGCCTCCTCTTCAATTCCTATCATCAGTTACAGGAGTGAGCCACCGCCCCGGCCTCCTCTTCAATTCCTATCATCAGTTACAGGTGTCAGCCCCCGCCCCGGCCTCTTCTTCAATTCCTGTCATTGCTTTGTAGTTTTAATTGTAGAGATCTCTCCCTTATTTGGTGAATTCCTGGGTATTTAATTTTAACTATTTATTTCGACTTGGACCTAACACTTTATTATGAGTGTCTGTTGAGGCCTCTCACGTGGTTCCTCTACCATCCCTTTCCTGACTTCTGTCGGATTATTTCTATGTTGAAGTCTCCCACTTTAATTCTTCTACTGGGTTTTTTCACTACTTAAATTGTTTGTTTGTTTTAAGCAATCGTTCTGAAGATTGCAATCTACATGCTGAATTTGTCACAGTCTATTTATAATTAATATTTGCCACTTAAAATGGGAAGTAGAGAACTTCGCACCACAACCAGATTGCTCCCTTATACAGAAAGTTGTCTCATTATTACATCTATATACACTCACAACTTCCCCGGGTGTTATAATCATCATTACATCCATATACACTCACAACTTCCCCCGGTGTTATAATCATCATTACGTCTATATACACTCACAACTTCCCCCCGTGTTATAATCATCATTACATCTATATACACTCACAACTTCCCCCGGTGTTATAATCATCACTACATCTATATACACTCACAACTTCCCCCGGTGTTATAATCATCATTACATCTATATACACTCACAACTTCCCTGGGTGTTATAATCATCATTACATCTATATACACTCACAACTTCCCCCGGTGTTATAATCATCATTACATCTATATACACTCACAACTTCCCCCGGTGTTATAAACATCATTACATCTATATACACTCACAACTTCCCCCGGTGTTATAATCATCATTACATCTATATACACTCACAACTTCGCCCGGTGTTATAATCATCATTACATCTATATACACTCACAACTTCCCCCCGGTGTTATAATCATCATTACATCTATATACACTCACAACTTCCCCCGGTGTCATAATCATCATTACATCTATATACACTCACAACTTCCCCCGGTGTTATAATCATCATTACATCTATAAACACTCACAACTTCCCCCGGTGTCATAATCATCATTACATCTATATACACTCACAACTTCCCCCGGTGTTATAAACATCATTACATCTATATACACTCACAACTTCCCCCGGTGTCATAAACATCATTACATCTATATACACTCACAACTTCCCCCGGTGTTATAATCATCATTACATCTATATACACTCACAACTTCCCCCCGGTGTTATAATCATCATTACATCTATATACACTCACAACTTCCCCCGGTGTTATAATCATCATTACATCTATATACACTCACAACTTCCCCCGGTGTTATAATCATCATTACATCTATATACACTCAAAACTTCCCCCGGTGTTATAATCATTATTACACGTATATACACTCACAACTTCCCCCGGTGTTACAATCATCATTACATCTATATACACTCACAACTTCCCCCGGTGTCATAATCATCATTACATCTATATACACTCACAACTTCCCCCCGGTGTTATAATCATCATTACATCTATATACACTCACAACTTCCCCCGGTGTTATAATCATCATTACATCTATATGCACTCACAACTTCCCCCGGTGTTATAATCATCATTACATCTATATACACTCACAACTTCCCCCGGTGTCATAATCATCATTACATCTATATACACTCACAACCTCCCCCGGTGTCATAATCATCATTACATCTATATACACTCACAACTTCCCCCGGTGTCATAATCATCATTACATCTATATACACTCACAACTTCCCCCGGTGTCATAATCATCATTAAATCTATATACACTCACAACATCCCCCGGTGTTATAATCATCATTACATCTATATACACTCACAACTTCCCCCGGTGTTATAATCATCATTACATCTATATACACTCACAAATTCCCCCGGTGTTATAATCATCATTACATCTATATACACTCACAACTTCCCCCGGTGTTATAATCATCATTACATCTATATACACTCACAACTTCCCCCGGTATTATAATCATCATTACATATATATACACTCACAACTTCCCCCGGTGTTATAATCATCATTACATCTATATACACTCACAACTTCCCCGGGTGTTATAATCATCATTACATCTATATACACTCACAACTTCCCCCCGGTGTCATAATCATTATTACATCTATATACACTCACAACTTCCCCCGGTGTCATAATCATCATTACATCTATATACACTCACAACTTCCCCCGGTGTCATAATCATCATTACATCTATATACACTCACAACTTCCCCCGGTGTCATAATCATTATTACATCTATATACACTCACAACTACCCCCGGTGTTATAATCATCATTACATCTATATACACTCACAACTTCCCCCGGTGTTACAATCATCATTACATCTATATACACTCACAACTTCCCCCGGTGATATAATCATTATTACATCTATATACACTCACAACTTCCCCCGGTGTTATAATCATCATTACACCTATATACACTCACAACTTCCCCCGGTGTTACAATCATCATTACATCTATATACACTCACAACTTCCCCCGGTGTTACAATCATCATTACATCTATATACACTCACAACTTCCCCGGTGTTATAATCATCATTACATCTATATACACTCACAACTTCCCCGGTGTTATAATCATCATTACATCTATATACACTCACAACTTCCCCCGGTGTTACAATCATCATTACATCTATATACACTCACAACTTCCCCCGGTGATATAATCATTATTACATCTATATACACTCACAACTTCCCCCGGTGTTATAATCATCATTACACCTATATACACTCACAACTTCCCCCGGTGTTACAATCATCATTACATCTATATACACTCACAACTTCCCCCGGTGTTACAATCATCATTACATCTATATACACTCACAACTTCCCCGGTGTTATAATCATCATTACATCTATATACACTCACAACTTCCCCGGTGTTATAATCATCATTACATCTATATACACTCACAACTTCCCCCGGTGTCATAATCATCATTACATCTATATACACTCACAACTTCCCCCGGTGTTATAATCATCATTACATCTATATACACTCACAACTTCCCCCGGTGTCATAATCATCATTACATCTATATACACTCACAACTTCCCCGGTGTTATAATCATCATTACATCTATATACACTCACAACTTCCCCCGGTGTTATAATCATCATTACATCTATATACACTCACTACTTCCCCCGGTGTTATAATCATCATTACATCTATATACACTCACAACTTCCCCGGGTGTTATAATCATCATTACATCTATATACACTCACAACTTCGCCCGGTGTCATAATCATCATTACATCTATATACACTCACAACTTCCCCCGGTGTCATAATCATCATTACATCTATATACACTCACAACTTCCCCCGGTGTCATAATCATCATTACACCTATATACACTCACAACTTCCCCCGGTGTTACAATCATCATTACATCTATATACACTCACAACTTCCCCGGTGTTATAATCATCATTACATCTATATACACTCACAACTTCCCCCGGTGTTATAATCATCATTACATCTATATACACTCACAACTTCCCCGGTGTCATAATCATCATTACATCTATATACATACAACTTCCCCGTGTCATATCATCATTACATCTATATACACTCAAACTTCCCCGGTGTCATAATCATTATTACAGCTATATACACTCACAACTTCCCCCGTGTTATAATCATCATTACATCTATATACACTCACAACTTCCCCCGGTGTCATAATCATCATTACATCTATATACACTCACTACTTCCCCCGGTGTCATAATCATCATTACATCTATATACACTCACAACTTCCCCCGGTGTCATAATCATCATTACATCTATATACACTCACAACTTCTCCCGGTGTCATAATCATCATTACATCTATATACACTCACTACTTCCCCCGGTGTTATAATCGTCATTACACCTATATACACTCACTACTTCCCCCGGTGTCATAATCGTCATTACATCTATATACACTCACAACTTCTCCCGGTGTCATAATCATCATTACATCTATATACACTCACAACTTCTCCCGGTGTCATAATCATCATTACATCTATATACACTCACAACTTCCCCCGGTGTCATAATCATCATTACATCTATATACACTCACAACTTCTCCCGGTGTCATAATCATCATTACATCTATATACACTCACAAGTTCCCCCGGTGTCATAATCATCATTACATCTATATACACTCACTACTTCCCCCGGTGTCATAATCATCATTACATCTATATACACTCACAACTTCCCCCGGTGTTATAATCATCATTACATCTATATACACTCACAACTTCCCCCGGTGTTATAATCATCATTACATCTATATACACTCACAACTTCCCCCGGTGTTATAATCATCATTACATCTATATACACTCACAACTTCCCCCGGTGTCATAATCATTATTACAGCTATATACACTCACTACTTCCCCCGGTGTCATAATCATCATTACATCTATATACACTCACAACTTCCCCCGGTGTCATAATCATCATTACATCTATATACACTCACAACTTCTCCCGGTGTCATAATCATCATTACATCTATATACACTCACTACTTCCCCCGGTGTTATAATCGTCATTACACCTATATACACTCACTACTTCCCCCGGTGTCATAATCGTCATTACATCTATATACACTCACAACTTCTCCCGGTGTCATAATCATCATTACATCTATATACACTCACAACTTCTCCCGGTGTCATAATCATCATTACATCTATATACACTCACAACTTCCCCCGGTGTCATAATCATCATTACATCTATATACACTCACAACTTCTCCCGGTGTCATAATCATCATTACATCTATATACACTCACAACTTCCCCGGTGTCATAATCATCATTACATCTATATACACTCACTACTTCCCCGGTGTCATAATCATCATTACATCTTATACACTCACAACTTCCCCGTGTTATAATCATCATTACATCTATATACACTCACAACTTCCCCGGTGTTATAATCATCATTACATCTATATACACTCACAACTTCCCCCGGTGTTATAATCATCATTACATCTATATACACTCACAACTTCCCCCGGTGTTATAATCATCACTACATCTATATACACTCACAACTTCCCCCGGTGTTATAATCATCATTACATCTATATACACTCACAACTTCCCCCGGTGTCATAATCATCATTACATCTATATACACTCACTACTTCCCCCGGTGTTATAATCATCATTACATCTATATACACTCACAACTTCCCCCGGTGTTATAATCATTATTACATCTATATACACTCACAACTTCCCCCGGTGTCATAATCATTATTACATCTATATACACTCACTACTTCCCCCGGTGTTATAATCATCATTACATCTATATACACTCACAACTTCCCCCGGTGTTATAATCATTATTACATCTATATACACTCACAACTTCCCCCGGTGTCATAATCATTATTACATGTATATACACTCACAACTTCCCCCGGTGTTATAATCATCATTACATCTATATACACTCACAACTTCCCCCGGTGTTATAATCATCATTACATCTATATACACTCACAACTTCCCCCGGTGTCATAATCATCATTACATCTATATACACTCACAACTTCCCCCGGTGTTCATAATCATCATTACATCTATATACACTCACAACTTCCCCCGGTGTCATAATCATTATTACACCTATATACACTCACTACTTCCCCCGGTGTCATAATCATCATTACATCTATATACACTCACAACTTCCCCCGGTGTCATAATCATCATTACATCTATATACACTCACAACTTCTCCCGGTGTCATAATCATCATTACATCTATATACACTCACAACATCCCCCGTGTCATAATCATCATTACACCTATATACACTCACTACTTCCCCCGGTGTCATAATCATCATTACATCTATATACACTCACAACTTCCCCCGGTGTCATAATCATCATTACATCTATATACACTCACACTTCCCCCGGTGTTACAATCATCATTACATCTATATACACTCACTACTTCCCCGGTGTCATAATCATCATTACATCCATATACACTCACAACTTCCCCCGGTGTTATAATCATCATTACATCTATATACACTCACAACTTCCCCCGGTGTTGTAATCATCATTACATCTGTATACACTCACAACTTCCCCGGTGTTATAATCATCATTACATCTATATACACTCACAACTTCCCCCGTTGTTATAATCATCATTACATCTATATACACTCACAACTTCCCCCGGTGTCATAATCATCATTACATCTATATACACTCACAACTTCCCCCGGTGTTATAATCATCATTACATCTATATACACTCACAACTTCCCCGGTGTTATAATCATCATTACACCTATATACACTCACAACTTCCCCCGGTGTCATAATCATCATTACATCTATATACACTCACAACTTCCCCCGGTGTCATAATCATCATTACATCTATATACACTCACAACTTCCCCCGGTGTCATAATCATCATTACATCTATATACACTCACAACTTCCCCCGGTGTTATAATCATCATTACATCTATATACACTCACAACTTCCCCCGGTGTTATAATCATCATTACATCTATATACACTCACAACTTCCCCGTGTTATAATCATCGTTACACTTATATACACTCACAACTTCCCCCGGTGTCATAATCATCATTACATCTATATACACTCACAACTTCCCCCGGTGTCATAATCATCATTACATCTATATACACTCACAACTTCCCCGGTGTCATAATCATTATTACACCTATATACATCACTACTTCCCCCGGTGTCATAATCATCATTACATCTATATACACTCACAACTTCCCCCGGTGTTATAATCATATTACATCTATATACACTCACAACTTCCCCCGGTGTCATAATCATCATTACACCTATATACACTCACTACTTCCTCCGGTGTCATAATCATCATTACATCTATATACACTCACAACTTCCCCCGGTGTTATAATCATCATTACATCTATATACACTCACAACTTCCCCCGGTGATATAATCATTATTACATCTATATACACTCACAACTTCCCCCGGTGTTATAATCATCATTACATCTATATACACTCACAACTTCCCCCGGTGTTATAATCATCATTACATCTATATACACTCACAACTTCCCCGGTGTCATAATCATCATTACATCTATATACACTCACAACTTCCCCCGGTGTTATAATCATCATTACATCTATATACACTCACTACTTCCCCGGTGTCATAATCATCATTACATCTATATACACTCACAACTTCCCCCGGTGTATAATCATCATTACATCTATATACACTCACAACTTCTCCCGGTGTCATAATCATCATTACATCTATATACACTCACAACTTCCCCCGGTGTCATAATCGTCATTACACCTATATACACTCACTACTTCCCCCGGTGTCATAATCATCATTACATCTATATACACTCACAACTTCCCCCGGTGTTATAATCATCATTACATCTATATACACTCACAACTTCCCCCGGTGTTATAATCATCATTACATCTATATACACTCACAACTTCCCCCGGTGTTATAATCATCATTACATCTATATACACTCACAACTTCCCCCGGTGTCATAATCATCATTACATCTATATACACTGACAACTTCCCCCGGTGTCATAATCATCATTACATCTATATACACTCACAACTTCCCCCGGTGCATAATCATTATTACACCTATATACACTCACTACTTCCCCGGTGTCATAATCATCATTACATCTATATACACTCACAACTTCCCCCGGTGTCATAATCATCATTACATCTATATACACTCACAACTTCCCCGGTGTCATAATCATCATTACATGTATATACACTCACAACTTCCCCCGTTACACTCATTAATCTTATACACTCCAACTTCCCCCGGTGTTATAATCATTATTAATCTATATACACTCACAACTTCCCCCGGTGTTATAATCATCATTACATCTATATACACTCACAACTTCCCCCGGTGTTATAATCATCATACATCTATATACACTCACAACTTCCCCCGGTTATAATCATCATTACATCTAATACACTCACAACTTCCCCGGTGTTATAATCATCATTACATCTATATACACTCACAACTTCCCCCGGTGTTATAATCATATTACCTCTATATACACTCACTACTTCCCCGGTGTTATAATCATCATTACATCTATATACACTCACAACTTCCCCCGGTGTCATAATCATCATTACATCTATATACACTCACAACTTCCCCCGGTGTCATAATCATCATTACATTATATACACTCACAACTTCCCCGGTGTCATAATCATCATTACATCTATATACACTCACAACTTCCCCCGGTGTCATAATCATTATTACACCTATATACACTCACTACTTCCCCCGGTGTCTTAATCATCATTACATCTATATACACTCACAACTTCCCCCGGTGTCATAATCATCATTACATCTATATACACTCACATCTTCTCCCGGTGTCATAATCATCATTACATCTATATACACTCACAACTTCCCCCGGTGTTATAATCGTCATTACACCTATATACACTCACTACTTCCCCCGGTGTCATAATCATCATTACATCTATATACACTCACAACTTCCCCCGGTGTCATAATCATCATTACATCTATATACACTCACAACTTCCCCCGGTGTTATAATCATCATTACATCTATATACACTCACAACTTCCCCCGGTGTTATAATCATCATTACATCTATATACACTCACAACTTCCCCCGGTGTTATAATCATCACTACATCTATATACACTCACAACTTCCCCCGGTGTCATAATCATCATTACATCTATATACACTCACAACTTCCCCCGGTGTCATAATCATCATTACATCTATATACACTCACAACTTCCCCCGGTGTTATAATCATCATTACATCTATATACACTCACAACTTCCCCCGGTGTTATAATCATTATTACATCTATATACACTCACAACTTCCCCCGGTGTCATAATCATCATTACATCTATATACACTCACTACTTCCCCCGGTGTTATAATCATCATTACATCTATATACACTCACAACTTCCCCCGGTGTTATAATCATTATTACATCTATATACACTCACAACTTCCCCCGGTGTCATAATCATCATTACATCTATATACACTCACAACTTCCCCCGGTGTTATAATCATCATTACATCTATATACACTCACAACTTCCCCCGGTGTTGTAATCATCATTACATCTATATACACTCACAACTTCCCCCGGTGTCATAATCATCATTACATCTATATACACTCACAACTTCCCCCGGTGTCATAATCATCATTACATCTATATACACTCACAACTTCCCCCGGTGTCATAATCATTATTACACCTATATACACTCACTACTTCCCCCGGTGTCATAATCATCATTACATCTATATACACTCACAACTTCCCCCGGTGTCATAATCATCATTACATCTATATACACTCACAACTTCTCCCGGTGTCATAATCATCATTACATCTATATACACTCACAACTTCCCCCGGTGTCATAATCATCATTACACCTATATACACTCACTACTTCCCCCGGTGTCATAATCATCATTACATCTATATACACTCACAACTTCCCCCGGTGTCATAATCATCATTACATCTATATACACTCACAACTTCCCCCGGTGTTACAATCATCATTACATCTATATACACTCACTACTTCCCCCGGTGTTATAATCATCATTACATCCATATACACTCACAACTTCCCCCGGTGTTATAATCATCATTACATCTATATACACTCACAACTTCCCCCGGTGTTATAATCATCATTACATCTGTATACACTCACAACTTCCCCCGGTGTTATAATCATCATTACATCTATATACACTCACAACTTCCCCCGGTGTTATAATCATCATTACATCTATATACACTCACAACTTCCCCCGGTGTTATAATCATCATTACATCTATATACACTCACAACTTCCCCGGTGTTATAATCATCATTACATCTATATACACTCACAACTTCCCCCGGTGTTATAATCATCATTACACCTATATACACTCACAACTTCCCCCGGTGTCATAATCATCATTACATCTATATACACTCACAACTTCCCCCGGTGTCATAATCATCATTACATCTATATACACTCACAACTTCCCCCGGTGTTATAATCATCATTACATCTATATACACTCACAACTTCCCCCGGTGTTATAATCATCATTACATCTATATACACTCACAACTTCCCCCGGTGTTATAATCATCATACATCTATATACACTCACAACTTCCCCGGTTATAATCATCATTACATCTATATACACTCACAACTTCCCCCGGTGTTATAATCATCGTTACACCTATATACACTCACAACTTCCCCCGGTGTCATAATCATCATTACATCTATATACACTCACAACTTCCCCCGGTGTCATAATCATCATTACATCTATATACACTCACAACTTCCCCCGGTGTCATAATCATTATTACACCTATATACACTCACTACTTCCCCCGGTGTCATAATCATCATTACATCTATATACACTCACAACTTCCCCCGGTGTTATAATCATTATTACATCTATATACACTCACAACTTCCCCCGGTGTCATAATCATCATTACACCTATATACACTCACTACTTCCCCCGGTGTCATAATCATCATTACATCTATATACACTCACAACTTCCCCCGGTGTCATAATCATCATTACATCTATATACACTCACAACTTCCCCCGGTGTTACAATCATCATTACATCTATATACACTCACTACTTCCCCCGGTGTCATAATCATCATTACATCCATATACACTCACAACTTCCCCCGGTGTTATAATCATCATTACATCTATATACACTCACAACTTCCCCCGGTGTTATAATCATCATTACATCTGTATACACTCACAACTTCCCCCGGTGTTATAATCATCATTACATCTGTATACACTCACAACTTCCCCCGGTGTTATAATCATCATTACATCTATATACACTCACAACTTCCCCGGTGTTATAATCATCATTACATCTATATACACTCACAACTTCCCCGGTGTTATAATCATCATTACATCTATATACACTC
Source organism: Homo sapiens (assembly GCF_000001405.40). Taxonomy (NCBI): domain Eukaryota; kingdom Metazoa; phylum Chordata; class Mammalia; order Primates; family Hominidae; genus Homo; species Homo sapiens. The sequence goes on from NW_021159990.1 coordinate 16,483, forward strand.
ACAACTTCCCCCGGTGTTATAATCATCATTACATCTATATACACTCACAACATCCCCCGGTGTTATAATCATCATTACATCTATATACACTCACAACTTCCCCCGGTGTTACAATCATCATTACATCTGTATACACTCACAACTTCCCCCGGTGTTATAATCATCGTTACATCTATATACACTCACAACTTCCCCCGGTGTTATAATCATCGTTACACCTATATACACTCACAACTTCCCCCGGTGTTATAATCATCGTTACATCTATATACACTCACAACTTCCCCCGGTGTTATAATCATCATTACATCTATATACATTCATAATTTCATAATAATCATTATTACATCTATATACACTCATAACTTCCCCAGTGTTATGATTTTTGCCCTTAACTCATTACTCTCAGGTATCATGCATGCTTTAACAACGTAAGAAGAAAAAATAATATTTTACCTTCACCGATATATTTATATTTTCTGCAGTTCCAAGTTTCCTTCTGGAATCATTTCCATTCTGCCTGAAGAACCCTCTTTCACATTTCTATACTTTTCTTTTTTTTTTTTTTTTTTGACAGAGTCTCGCTCTGTCACCCAGGGTAGAGTGCAATGGTGCAATCTTGGCTGACTGCAACCTCTGCCTCCCAGATCCAAGCGATTCTCCTGCCTCAGCCTCTTGAGTAGCTGGGACTACAGGCGCCCACCACCATGCCCGGCTAATTTTTTTTTTTAGTTTTTAGTAGACATGTGGTTTCACCATGTTGGCCAGGCTGGTCTCGAACTCCTGACCTCAAGTGATCCACCTGCCTTGGCCTCCCGAAGTGCTGGGATTACAGGTGTGAGCCACTGCGCCAGGCCCCACATTTCTTTTAGAACAAATCTGCAGTGAAAAATTCTCTTTATTTTCCCTCATTTGAGAATGTCTTTAGTTTACTTAATTCCTAAAGGACATTTTTGCTGTACAGACTTCTTGGTTGACAACTAGTTTTTTTTGTTTTTGTTTTTTGTTTTTGTTTTTTTTTGAGACGGAGTCTCGCTCTGTCACCCAGGCTGGAGTGCAGTGGTACAATCTCGCCTCACTGCAAGCTCCGCCTCCCAGGTTTGCGCCATTCTCCTGCCTCAGCCTCCCGAGTATCTGGGACTACAGGTGCCCGCCACCACGCCCGGCTAATTATTTTTTGTATTTTTAGTAGAGATGGGGTTTCACCGTGTTAGACAGGATTTTCTCGATCTCCTCACCTCGTGATCCACCCGCCTCGGCCTCCCGAAGTGCTGGGATTACAGGCGCAAGCCACTGCGCCCGGCCACTTTTTGTATTTTTAATGGAGACAGGGTTTCACCACGATGGGCAGCCTGGTCTCGAACTTCTGACCTCTAGTGATCCACCCACCTCAGGCTCCCAAAGTGCTGGGATTACAGGCGTGAGCCACCGTGCCCGGCCTGACCACTAGTTTCTTTTCGCACTTAACAACACTGGCCGACTGCCTTAGGCGCCCATGCTCTCTAATGAGAAATCCACAGGCTTTCAAACCCAAGTTTCCCTCTGGCCGTGCACCGTTCTTCTCTGGCTGCCTTCGAGGCATTTTCTTTGTCTTTGGTTTTTGGTAGTTTGATTGATGTTTCTGGGTATGGATTTTTCTGAGTTTATCCTCTCTGAAGTTCACTGAGCTTCTTTGAATCTATAAATTTATGACTTTTCAGCAGATTTTATACTCTATTTCTTTGAATATTTCTGTTTTCTCATTTCCTTCTGGGACTCCAGTGACACAAAACTTAGACCATTTCATAGCATCATGTAGGACCCTGGGGCTCTGTTTATTTTATTTTATTTCACTTATTTTATTTTATTTTATTTCATTTCTGAGACAGGGTCTTAGACTCTTGCCCATGCTGGAGTGCAGTGGTGTGACCTTGGCTCACTGCAGCCTGGAACTCCTGGGCTCAAGCAATCCTCCCACCTCAGCCTGAGTAGCTGGGACTATAGGCATGCACCACTACACCTGGCTAATTTTTAACTATTTGTAGAGACACAGTGTTGCTATGTGGCCCAGATTGGTCTCAAACTCCTGGCCTCACATAATCCTCCCACCACAGCCTCCCCACATGTGCTGGGTTTATAGGCATAAGCCACTATGATCACCCAGCTGTTTATTTTTTTTTAATTTTTTTATTTTTAGATGGAGTCTCGCTCTGTTGCTCGGGCTGAAGTGCAGTGGCGTGATCTCAGCTCACTGCAAGCTCTGCCTCCCGGGTTCATGCCATTCTCCTGCCTCAACCTCCCGAGTAGCTGGGACTACAGGTGCCTGCCGCCATGCTGGGCTAATTTTTTGTATTTTTAGTAGAGACAGAGTTTCACCATGTTGGCCAGGATGGTCTCGATCTCCTGACCTCGTGATCTGCCTGCCTCAGCCTCCCAAAGTGCTGGGATTACAGGCGTGAGCCACCATGCCCGGCCAGCAGTTTATTTTTCAAGAATTTTTTTCTCTTTTATTAGACTGGATAATTTCCATTGCTCTTTCTAAAATTTCAGAATGATTTTCCTCCTTGTCATCTCCATTCTTCTTGTGAACTCACCCAGTGAATTTTTAATTTTGGTTATTGTATTTTTCTGTTCTAAAATTTCCATTTGATTCTTTTTTATAGCTTCTCTTTCTGGGATGAGACTTTCAATCTTTCCATTTTTTTCAATAGTGTTTTCCTTTACTTCTTAGAGCGTGATTATAATAATTGCTTTAAAATCTGTGTGATAGGACTAGGCACAGTGGCTCATGCCTGTAATCTCAGCACTTTGGGAGGCCAGGGCAGGAGGATTGCTTGTGCCCAGGAGGTTAACACCAGTCTGGGCAACATACTGAGACCCCATCTCTACAAAAAAAATTTAAAAATTAGCCAGGCATGGTGACACACACTGGTAGTCCCAGCTACTTAGGAGGCTGAAGTGGGAGGATTGCTTGAGCCTGGGAGGTGGAGGCTGCAGTCAGCGATGATCGCACCACTGTACTCCAGCCTGGGTGGCAGAGCAAGACTGTCTAAAAAAAAAAAGTGTGATAATTCCAACAACTGGGTCTTCTTGGGGGGTGATATCTGTTGATTGTCTTTCACCTTGATAATTTGTCAGACTTTTCCTGGTTCTTTGCATATTGAGTATTTTGGGATTGTATCCTGGTCATTTTGAATATGAAATTATGAGACTTTGGATCTTCTTTAAATCCTATGGAGATTTTTGTTTTATTTTGTGTCAGCAAGCAATACACCAGGTTAGGCCCTGTCTGATGCTGAGATTGACTTATGGGCTGAGGTGGTGGCAGTTGATAATTGTTGCCCCAATTCATTATTTTATAAAAGGTTACACAAAGATTTTTTTTCTAATTCATTATTTTCTTAGTCATTTATCTGCTGCAATTATATAAGGGAGAATTTTCCTTCGTAAATTGTTTGGTTACTCTGAAATATCACTTATTCAGGACAAACAGGATAAATGCTTGTTTTCTTCTCCTGTATTGATACATTTTTCAGAGTAACAAACTGGCACCCTAACCACCTCCAATGGTGCCCAGTGAGGTGTTCATTTGTTTTGTGTCATTACTGAGCCAAGGCTTGAGCCAGATTTGATGTGTTTCATTCATGGCAGTCCTTCTGCTCTTTGGAGCTGAACTTGTCCCATCCTGGGCCCTCAGCTGGCTCCTTTGCCCACACAGCCCCTGTTTATCCTTCGAATATGCCCAATTTGGCGATGCAGAGAGGACACCGTGCGTCCTCATCACTCGAACCATTCTTTCTTCTGTAAGGTTTAGTCCCGTCTGCTGTACAATTTTGTGGGTTGATTTTCTTCTTTTTAATCTGAGGGGTCCAGCTCCTTCCCCATGCCCCTCCGTGTGAAGCAATGCTTCCTTCAGCATTGGAGCCTGCCCTCGCCGAGTGTCTGTGGCCCAGGGTAGGATCCCATGAGCTTAGCTGTGGGAGCTGAAATGTGGGCCGCACCCCAAGGGCCTGCGTGGGCTCCCATCCAGGGGCTTCACCCACCACCCTGCTCTGGTTTGGGAGGGCGTTGTTCTGGGAGCACCAGTCAGTTGCTCATCAACAAACCATGGGGCATGGAGACGCCACCGTGAACACGTGTGGTGGGTCCTGCCCTGTGTGCTTGACCTTGATGGAGAAATGTGCCGGAACAACCAGGCAGGGCTCTGGTGGGCCCTGTGCAGAGGTGGGAGCTCTGTGTGGTGGTCTGGGCAGCCAGGGCAGCTCCTTGAGGAGGATGAGGTGACTGAGCTCCCACTGAGGGAACAGCAGGGTGGAGGCTGGAAAGGCGGGCCGGCAGCTCGGGGTCTCCTGGGCACATGGCTTGGGCCACAGGAGGGACGGGAGCCCGGCCGGGGTCCCAAGATCTTCTACAGCAACCTCTGGCTGATGGAGCCGACCAGGGCTGGAGCTGGGGTGGCCAGTGGCCTCGTGACAGAGGTGCAGGTGAGCCGAGATGCCACAAGGTGCTGAGTCTGGTGTGCGTGCCGAGGGCAAGCTGGTGGGGTTTGCTGAGGGCCTTGGTGGGTGCGCAGGATGGCGGTGGTGACAGCGAGGGCCAGCGCCTTTTTCTGGGAAAAAGAAGATGGACGATGGGCCAGAGAGGAACGGTTTGGTTTGATCACTTCAAGTGTCTTGATCAGCCACTTGGACGTGTTGAGGAGGCAGCTGGACAGGGTCTGGAGCCACGGTGAAGGTCGATGGCCGGGCAAGGCCACGTGGCTGCCCCTAATGAGCCCCCGTGGTAGTGGGTAGACGCGGAGCATCGAAGGGTCAGTCTGAGCCCCAGGTCCTCACAGTGGAGGCCCTGTCTGTCCTGCCAGCTGTTTGGGCAGACCCCAGCATCCTCCAATTTTACCCAATAACGCAGTCCCCCCTGCGCCATCCCCCACCCTGAGCCTCCCCGGCTCCCCCAGCACAGAGCAGGTGCTGGCCTCTCAGGGCAGGGACAAGACCCAAGTAAGCCCGGGTCCCCTGTGCCAGGCCAGGGTGTGAAGGCCACTGCCTCACAGGCCAGACCCTGCCCTCAGGGAGCTCCTAGCCCATGATGGTCGGCTTGGTTTGGTGAGGCTGCAGCCCCAACATCCCACCAAGCCCTCGCTAGGTGCTGTGTGGGGTGCGCTGCAGGTGTGGTTAACATCACCATCGGTCAGCTTTCAGTGAAGGAGATGACCCTCCCTAATATGCTGGGCCTCTTCTAACCAGGGCAGGGCCTGACGGGCAACACAGGCTTCCCAGAGAAGAAATTCTGTCTGAAGATGGCAGTGTCAGCCACCACCCGTTTCCAGTCTGTTGCTTACTCAGACGTGCCCAGCTGGACCCCACAATTGCATAAGCCAGTTCTGTGAAATCAATGTCTTAATGTGCAGGCCTCTCCCAGCGGTCCCATTTTTCTGGAGAACTGTGGCTGGCACAGGGTCCAGGGGTGCAGAAGAGAGTGAAACACCCTGGGGTCTGGAGGTTCAGACAGGACCCGTCATTCTGAGACCCTCAGATCAGGCAGCAGGAGGGGCACAGGGTCCTTGGCAGAGGGGACACCCCTCTCCCCCGCAGGCGTCTGGAAGGCCCCACCACCTGAGGGTCTCTGCTGCTGGTGGCAGTGCGGATGCCAGATGGGACTCTCATCTGTGTTTCCCAGGACGTGGAGCATTTATCTTGGGGACTTTCTGAAGGATGTGTGACAGAGGAGGGGTGTGTTTACACGGGGTCCCGTGTCCTAATCAATGCTGAACAGAACTGTTTTGATTTTCCAGTTACAGGAAGGACAATAAGTGAGACAGCAGAAGCAGGGCAAAGGCTCTAATTGATGGAGAAGCTATGAGGAGTCGATTCCAAGTCATCAATTCTCTGGGTGGAGGATCATGGCCTGGGGGCCGTTAGTGTTGGTGCCATTCCTAGCAAAGAGGAGGTCGGTACCAAAGCCAAGGTGGACTGGCCCCAGACTGCCACCCAGTGACAGGCCAGGCCTGCTGACGTGCACACTCAGAGGAGTTCACACTCAGACGAGTGCACACACAGAGGAGCTGACACTCAGACGAGCGCACACTCAGAGGAGCTCACACTCAGATGAGCGCACACTCAGAGGAGCTCACACTCAGAGGAGCACACACTCAGACAAGCACGCACTCAGAGGAGCACACAGTCAGAGGAGTGCACACTCAGAGGATCTCACACTCAGAGGAGTGCACACTCAGAGAAGCGCACTCAGAGGAGCGCACACTCACACAGACCCTGGTTTGACCCCCTGGCTTTGTTCTGTCCTCTTCAGGGCATAGTGGGATGGCAGCAGCCTTCTGACAGGGCTGCCAGGACAGAAGGAGGGTGGGATCCAGGCGCCCAGGGGCATCTGATGTGGGGCTCTGGATCTGAGTGGGCCTGGCACAGGGGCTGGGTCTCAGAAGGGAGGAGGCTGGGACATGAGGCCTCTTCCTCACCAGCCTGTGCTTTGTGGGTCTTCCTCTGCCCTGGGCGCTGCCTGCCCTCCTACTCTCCTCTGCTTCCTCATGTCCCGGCCCCTACCCCTTGGGGCCCCAGCCCAGGCTTTCCAGGGCAGCCCCTTTTCCCGAGCTCCAGGCTCTTCTGAGCGTCCCGAAGCCCAGAACCCCACTTCCAGCCCACACATCCCAAGAGACCCCTGGGTCCTCTGACAGCCCCTCCCCAGTCTGGGCGGTGTTGCCACACAGACGCTGATACCTCCCTGCCTCTCTCACCTCTGCTTTGACCAGCACTGGCCCCATGTGCTGAGACCCTCGACCGTGCCTGTGTGGGCCCTGCCTGGGGCTCCCCCAACAGCCAGGCCACCCCCATCTCCTTGCCACACTCCTAACACTCCGAGTGATGGCTCCACCCTCTTCGCCTTGTGCTTAAGTACGCTGAAGTCAGCCCCAGGCTCTTCCACAGTGCACTGTCCTCAGGGCTGGCCTCGCCTGTGTGCTGAGGTCTCACCCGGAGCTCCTCCGCTGTTCCCAGGGCAGGGCGGGGGCTGCAGAGCAAGCTAGACAAAGGAGGGCTGGGGAGCCCTCCGCGTCCGCTCCTCCTATCCCACCTGGGGTTGCAGGGTCTGGTGAGATGGGTCCTGCCCTGCGTGGACACACGGGTAGCCCCCTGGCTCCATCACTGCAACGCCTCAACCCGTCTGCTCGGTGCGTGTGGGTCAGGTGCCCAGAACGCGGGTCCCCAGGAGCCCCAGCCAGGGGGGCTTGGTAGCCCGTGGCGCCTGCTGCTGGGGCGTGAGGCACCATCCTTAGAGGACCTGGGGTCCTGGGAGAGGCTTTGTTAAGCCCGGGCTTACAGCGGACAAGAGCCTGCACAGAGCCTTGGGTGCAGAGCTGACTGCTTCCCTGGCTGCCTGCCCAGGGCCAGAGCCTAAAGAGTGGGCTGGTTAGGGTGAGTCTTCTTGTAAATGACATCTCCACACAACTGGGGAGCTACAAACAGGAGGCCACACGCCTGGCTTTTTTATTACAGTTGCCAGGAATAAGAGAAGGCCTTGGGAGTTGGGCCCTGGTTTGATGGGGATCGCAAATCCCCGTCTCTCCTTTAAGTGTCTGTCCCATTAAAAGCAAAATGCAGCTCCTCCCACACCCTGCAGGCTGATCTGGGCTGGGCCTGGCTCCCCCAAGCCTCCAGGCCTGTCTCCCACCTTCCTCCCTCCCGTTCTGTCAGGGGGCTTGGGTTTGGCCCCCCGATGGTGGTCAGGTTGCAGGAGACTGGAGCCCAACGTGGCCCAACTGAGCTGAGGCCTGGCCCGGGGAGCAGTGTTCTCGGCAGGCCTGTGGTCAGAGGGTGAGAGGAGCACGCCGGCACACAGGGAGTGGGGGGTTGGGGAAAAGGGAGGGACCCGCCTGTGGGGGTCCCCGGAGTCTTCCCGGAGGAGGAGGAGAGGAGCCGTGAGGGGGAGGAGGGAGGCGCCTTGGCCTCCACTCCCCGTGGGAAGCTGGGTCCTGCCCCTGGAGTTCTCCGCCATGGTGGAGAGGGGGCCGGAGTGGAGGCGGGGAGAGAGGAAGCCCCACTCTGGGTCCAAGCCAGGGGGTTGAGTGGGGGCATCAAAACCCCAGGTGGAGATGGGACCTGCCAGTGTTGTGCGAGGTCTGCTGGCACCAGGGGAGGGTCCGCCGGCCCTGGGCAGGGAGACAGCAGGCCCGCGAGTGGGGCCAAGTTCCTCTTCTCCCATGGTGCCAGGTGGGGGAACAGGCCAGTGGGGGAGGTTGCAGACCCCAGGGTCCTCCGGAATATTGTGAAGGGCTCTGCCTGGGCTCCTGTGGAGGGTTCAGGGACCTCAGTCTGGAGTGTGTAGTAGTCCGAGGCAGAGGCCTCAGTGGGGCCTGGGGCGAGGACGAGGGGCTCAGACGGAGGGACCACGCACTGGGACCCTCAGGGCACAGCCCACCAAGTCCCCGGCAGGAGCAGGCAGGGGCCCTGAGCTCTGGGAAAGGGGAGGGAGCCAGCGTCCCCAGCGACTTTGGGCTTTGACTGGGCTGCAGGTGCCCAAAGATGCTGAGTTGGACCCAAGGGGTCGACTTTGGTCTCCGGTTCCTCTCCTGGGCGTCGTGAGGTCCCTTTTCTGCCGTCAGCGGTTGGGGGTGAGAGCTGGTGGACAGGTGTAGAAACGAGGGTGGGTGCGAGTCCCCCTGTGGTCAGACTGTCCTGCTCCTCCCCCACCCCTAGGCCGGGACAAGGGGACTCCGTGGCTGGGATCAGAGGGTGGAAGCTGGGGGCTCTGGGACTGGTTAGGAACTCGCACCCAGAACCTGGCTGGCACAGGCTTAAATCCCAGCCTGGCCTCCCCTCCCTCCTTCCGGGGCCCGGGCACAATCTGTCACCTCCATGCACCTCGTCTCTTGCACAAGGGAGCACTGGAAGGGTTGTAGTGAACACCCAGCCTTAGGATACAGCACTGCCATTTCCTTGACTTCCTCCTCAGAGTACAGGGCAGGAAGAGAAAGGTTTTGAGCAGATAGCAATTTCCAGTGGGCCCCGTCGGCTGAGCTCTGGTCCCACCTCACTCTCCCAGGTGCCCACACCATCCTGATGGTCTGGACACCCACGGGGCCCTGTCTAAGGCCCGTGGACCTCTTCCCTCCTTGGTGGGGGTAGGAGGGGGTCTCTGCAGCTCTTTCTGGGCAGCATGGAGTTTCAGAATCTTGGGGTTTCAGAATCACGGGGCCAGTGGGAGCCCGGTTTGCCCGTGGAACAGACTTTGGGCAGCCCCTCTGCCTGAGCCTGATTCCTCATCGGTTTGGGGATTTCCCTGGACTTCCCTGAGTTTCCTTGTGAGGACCAGGTGTGGACAGAGCAGGTGCTCGGGAGGGAGGGCTGCTCCTGTTTCCTGCCCTCGCCTTCTCAGCTCGGCCAGCTCTGAGGACATGGCTGGACGCAGCAGGTGCTCAGGGAATACTGGCTGAGTGAGTGAATGTACAATTGTCGGTTTGGTATAAATGGTACTAAATAAGGCTAAGTGCTGCCATTTTTGGCTTTGGAGGCCTAGGGTTAATTGGCTCCTGCCCAGCCACCCTCAGCTCCGTCCACGTTTGGCACTGCTTGGGGTCAGGGGTTCTAAGGGTGCCCCATGACTTGGAACTTCATGTCCGATGGTAGGTTTTGGCCAGGGAGGCTTTGGCTTGCCCCGGTCCGTGCACCACCCTCCATCTCTGTGACTCTGTGCCAAGCCCTGCTGGGGTGGGCTCAGGATGCAGCTTCCTTGAAGATGCTCCTGCAGCTCCCAGATGTCCTCTGGTGAAGGGCATTGGAGCCACGTGAGCCTCGGGCCCTCTCACCAGGGTGAGCACGTGTCCTGGTGTACGTCCAGGCACGAGTGTTATTCGAGCCCCCTGAAGAGTGTGTGAGCTGGCCTGTTGGGTAGTATATATGATCCCCACTTCTTATTATCGTCTGGCTGAAGGATGCCTCCCAGGGCATCCCATCACGAGCACCACCACCATCACCACAGGTGGTTCCCAAGGCCCTCTGGTGCATGGGAAGTCTCTGAGGCACACAAAGCAGAGTGAACCTGCCTGGCGAGTCCTCACTGGGGGCCCCTCCTCTTCTCCCTCCCCCACTTATGTCTCCTGTGTGTCCCTGGGGAGCCCAACAAGTCTTTGACACATCTCAAGCCCCCATCACTTGGAAAGGGAGCCTGGAGCCCAAGGAGGTTGAGGGGTAGGGTGTACCCATCTGTGTTCTGTGACCCTGAAAGGACAGGAAGGTGTGCCTTATGCCCCCCTTCTTTTGGAGAGAAGGATAACTTCTTGATGGCATTCAAACTGAAAATGGATGCCAACGGAAACATGAGTGCCAAGAGACTGTGAGCACGATGCTGTCACACATCTTCATGGCCGCAGCAACCAGAGGTTTTGCTCTTTGTTTAACTTTTCCCCACTAAATGCATCACCACCATTACCACTATCACCACCGTCATCATCATCACCTCACATCATCATCATCACTACTGCCATCACCATCATCACCATCACCACCACCAACACCACCACCATCAACACCATGATCACATCATCATCACCACCATTCTCCTCATCATCCCCATCACATCATCATCACCACTGTCATCATCACCATCACTACCACCATCACCTTTATCATCACTAGCACCACCATCACCTCCATCCTCACTGTCACCACAGTCATCACCACCATCCTCATCACCATCACCTTCATCATATCACATTACCATCATCATCGTCACATCATCATCACCACCATCATTATCACCATCACCACCACCATCACCACCATTTTCACATCATCTTCACATCACATCATCATCACCAACATCATCACCATCACTACCACCATCACCATCTTCATCATCACCACCATCACCACCACCATTGCCACCATTATCACCATATCATCACCATCACTACCACCATCACCATTGTCATCACAATCACCATCATCATCATCTCACATTAGCATCATCATCACCATCATCATTACCATCACCATCATTACATCATAATCACCATAATGACCACCACCATCGTCGTCACCATCACCACCACCACATCACTATCACCACCATCGTCCTCACCACCACCATCATCTTCTCACCATGTCATCATTACCACCATCATTATTATCATCATAATCACCACTACCACCATCAACAGTACCCTATTATTATCACCATCACATCACTATCACTACCATCGTCCTCACCACCATCATCTTCTCACTATGTCATTATCACCATCATTATTATCATCATCACCACTACCACCATCAACAGTACCCTATTATCGTCACCATCACCACCATCATGATCATGATAATCATCATCACCATCACCATCATCACTACCAGCAACACCAGCATTACTACCACCACCACCATTGCCACCATCACCACCATTATGACCATCATGATCACTATCAATACCACCATCACCACTGTCATCACTATCACCACCGCTGTTGCCACCATCACAACCATTATCACATCAACATCACCACCATCCCCATCACCATCACCATCATTACCTCACATTATCATTATCATCACCATCACCATCATCATTACCATTATCTGCATCACCATTATCACCATCATCACATCACCATCACCACCACCATCATCATTGTCACCATCACTACCATCATAATCACCATACCCACCATTATCACCATCATTCCCACTATCAACTCTATCATCACAAGCACCACCACCACCACCATATCACCATCACCTCTGCTATCACCACCATCATCACCACCACAATCATCACCATCACATTTTTACCATCACCATCATCACCATCACCACCACCACCATCAACACCATCACCACCATTATCACATTGTCATCACCACCATTCTTATCGTCAACACTATTATCACTGTCACCACCATCATCACTACCACCATCACCATTATAATCATCACCACCATCGACACCATCACCACCACTATCACCATCATCATCATCACTAGCATCATCACCACCTTCATCAGCACCATCACCACCATCAACATTATTATCACCATTACCATCATTGTTTGACATCATCATTGTCATCATCACCATTATTACCATTATCAGTACCATCAGTATCACCATCACCACCATCATTTCATCACCATCACCACCATAATCTCACATTATCATTGTCACCATCATCACCACCACCAACAGCACTATCATCACATCACTATCACCACCACCATTATTACCATTATCATCATCACTATCATCATCATTATCATCACCATCACGATCATCGTCACCAACACAATCACTACCACAGTCATCACCATTACTATCATTACCATCATCACCCCATCAGGTGATGGTGATGCCTGATGGCAATGATGATAAAGCTTGATCAAGCATATCAAGTGTTTTTTGCATGCTAGATGCTTTGCACACTTCATTTCTTACCCTAATACAACCCAGACAGAGAAGTGCTATTCCCATTTTACAAATAAGGAAACTCAGGAGAGTAAAGTGCTCAAGGTCACACAGCTTTTCAGTGGAGGAATTTGGATTTGGATGCACATATGTTTCCTTGATCAAAAAGCATAGCTTCCCTGGCCCTGTAGCCTGTTCTGGGGCAGGAGTGCTTGAGCCCCTGCTCTTCATGTTATCCTACCATCATCAGTAGTGTAATGCTATGTTACCTTCCCTCCACTATCGAGAGGGAAGTGGGAGGTGCCAATGTGGGGACACCATTACAGATGTGGCTGCAGAGGTGCGGTGGGGGTCTTTGTGTGCTCTAGCAAGGATGAATGACCTCCTTGGAGACAGAGAGAGGGGAGTGGGAAGCCTTCTACCTCTGACACCTCTCCCTAGTAAAGGAGGCATGAATAATCTGATTGCTCAAACTGTAATCTACAAAATGCCAATTGGGCCTTGTCGACCAATGGGTGGGGCTGTGATTTGAAAGGTCACACATATGCATGGGTGCTCTCTCTTTTTCCCTCTCTGTGTGGCAGTGGTATGGGTGAGGGGACTGTCCTCTCTAAAGTCACATCTGCAGGCTGTACAGGAAGCATGGTGTTGGTATCTGCTTCTGGGGAGGCCTCAGGAAGCTTCCAGTCATGGTGGAGGGCAAAGGAGGAGCAGGTACATCACATGCCAGAAGAACAGAAAGACAGAGAGAATGGAGAGGAGGTGTCACACACTTTTAAATGACCAGATCTCATGTGAACTCAGAGGGAGAGTTCACTCATCACCAGGGTGAGAGTCCAGGCCATTCATGAGGGATCCATCCCCATGTTCCAACCCCTCCCACCAGGCCCCATCTCCAACTCCAACCTTAGGTATTACAATTCAATTTGAGATTTGGGCAGGACAAATATCTAAACTATATCAAAGATATACATTGGTTCAGCCCGAAAAGGTAGGAAATCTCAAAACAGAGGCTTACAAGTTTTACTAGTTTGTTTTCACACTGCTATGAAGAATTACCCAAGACTGGGAAATTTATAAAGGAAAGAGGTTTAATTGACTCACAGTTCTGCATGGCTGAGGGGGCCTCAGGAAACTTACAATCATGGCAGAAGGGGAAGCAAACACATCCTTCTTCACATGGCAGCATGAGAGAGAAGTGCCAGCAGGGGAAATGCTAGACACTTATAATACCATCAGATCTTGTGAGGCTCACTCACTATCATGAGAACGTCATGAGGAAACTGCCCCCACGATCTCATCACCTCCCATGAGGTCCCTCCCCCAACATGTGGGGATTACAATTCAAATTACAATTCAAGATGAGATTTGGGTGGGGACAGAGAACTAGACCATATCATTCCAGCCCTGACTCCTCCCGAATCTCATTTTCTCACATTTCAAAACACAATTATGCCTTCCCAACAGTTCACCAAAGTCTTAACTCATTTCAGCATTAACTCAAAAGTCCAAGTCCATAGTCTCAACTGAGACAAGGCAGGTCCCTTCTGCCTATGAGCCTGTGAAATCAAAAGCAAGTTAGTCACTTCCTAGATACAGGGTGGGTACAGGCATTGGGTAAATACATTCATTCCAAATGGGAGAAATTGGCCAAAACAAGGGGCTGCAGGCCCATGCAAGTCTGAAATCCAGTAGGGCAGTCATTAAACCTTAAAGTTCCAAAATGATCTCCTTTGGCTCTATGTCTCACATCCAGGTCACACTGACACAAGAGGTGGACTCCCACAGCCTTGGGGAGCTCTGCCTCTGTGGCTTTGCTGGGTAGAGCCTCCCTCCCGGCTGCTTTTATGGGCTGGTGTTGAGTGTCTGTGGCTTTTCCAGGTATATGGTGCAAGCTGTTGGGTGGATCTACCATTCTGGAGTCTGGAGGACAGTGGCCCTCTTCTCACAGCTCCACTAGGCAGTGCCCCAGCGGGGACTCTATGTGGGGGCTCCAAACCCACATTTCCCTTCTGCACTGCCCTAGCAGAGGTTCTCCGTGAGGGCTCTGCCCCCACAGCAAACTTTTGCCTGGACATCCAGGCATTTCCACACATCCCCTGAAACCTAGGTAGAGGTTTCCAAACATCAATTCTTGACTTCTGTGTACCCACAGGACAAATACCACATGGAAGCTGCCAAGGCTTGAGGCTTGAAACAATGGCCTGAGCTGTACCTTGGCCCCTCTTAGTCATGGCTCGGGTGGCTTGGATGCAGGGCACCAAGTCCTAGGCTGCACACGGCAGGGGGCCCTGGACCAAGCCCATGAAACCATTTTTTCCTCCTAGGTCTCCAAAACAATTTTTTGCTCCTAGCCTTCCAGGCCTGTGATGGGAGGGGCCGCCATGAAGGTCTTTAACATGCCCTGGAGACATTTTCTCCATTGTCTTGGAAATTAATATTCGGCTCCTTGTTATACAAATTTCTGCAGCCAGCTTGAATTTCTCCCCAGAAAATGGGGTTTTCTTTTCTACTGCATCATCTGGCTGCAAGTTTTCCAAACTTTAATGCTCTGTCACCTCTTGAACACTTTGCTGCTTAGAAATTTCTTCCTCCAGACACCCTAAATCATCTCTCTCAAGTTCAGAGTTCCACAGAGCTCCAGGGCAGGGGCAAAATGCCACCAGTCTCTTTGCTAAAACATAGCAAGAGTCACCTTTACTCCACTTCCCAACAAGTTCCTCATCTCCATCTGAGACCACCTCAGCCTAGACTTCATTGTCCATATCACTATCAGCATTTTATTCAAAGCTATCCAGCAAGTCTTTAGGAAGTTCCAAACTTTTCCACATTTTTCTTCTTCTTCTGAACCCTCCAAACTGTTGCAACCCCTGCCAGCTGGCCAGTTCCAACATCACTTTTATATTTTCAGGTATCCTTCTAGCAGTGCCCCAATCCTGGTACCAATTTACTGTATTAGTTCATTTTCACACTACTATAAGAATTACCCAAGACTGGGTAATTTATAAAGGGAAGAAGTTTAATTGACTCACAGTTCTGTATGCCTGGGGAGATCTCAGGAAACTTAAAATCATGGTGGGAGGGGAAGCAAACACATCCTTCTTCACATGGTGGCAGGAGAGAGAAGTGCCATCAGGGGAAATGCCAGACACTTATAAAATCTGGTGAGACTCACTCACTATCAAAAGAACATCATGGGGGAACCTGCCCCATGATCTAATCACCTCCCACGAGGTCCCTCACCCAACATATGGGGATTACAATTTGAATTACAATTCAAGATAAGATTTGGGTGGGAACACAAAGCCAGACAATATCACGAGTCATAGGTAGATTCAGAGATCCTTTAATCTGCAATTGATTAAAGGAATAAAACTTTGTCAAAAACCAGAAAGGAGTATTTAAGATAAGGATGCTATGTCAGTCAGCCACAATATGCCCTGCTTAGCAGGATCAATGGCCCACAGGTGGGACTTACCCTTGCCTGGCATAGCTTTTGAGACCTGTTTATAGTTTGATATCTTATTCCCATGAAGAGTCTGTTCTGCCAGTCATGTGATCTCCAGATCTCCAATGATCTCTAATGACCTCTAATGTTTAGGCACCAACATTAATGCCGGTCAGTTGTGGCTACACTCTAAAAAGGAGAAACTAAAACGGGGTGAGTTCCATCTCCCTTTCCATCATGGCTGGGAGCCAAGTCTTTAAGGTTTTGCTGGGGTTCCCTTGGATAGAGGGGCTCCATTTATTTGGTGAGGAGCTTAGGATTTTATTTTTAGTTTACACTCTGTTTGTCCTCTCTGTTCTCTGTTTGTCCTCTCTGTTCCCTGCTTGTCCTCTCTGTTCCCATTTGTCCTCTCTGTTCCCTATTTGTCCTCTCTGGTCCATGTTTGTCCTCTCTGTTCCCTGTTTGTCCTCTCTGGTCCCTGTTTGTCCTCTCTGTTCCACATTTGTCCTCTCTGGTCCATGTTTGTCCTCTCTGTTCCCTGTTTGTCCTCTCTGGTCTCTGTTTGTCTTCTCTGGTCCCTGTTTGTTCTCTCTGGTCTCTGTCTGTCCTCTCTGGTCCCTGTTGGTCCTCTCTGTTCTGTGTTTGCCCTCTCTGTTCTGTGTTTGCCCTTTCTGTTCCCAGTTTGCTCTCTCTGTTCCCTGTTTGTCCTCGCTGGTCCGTGTTTGCACTCTCTGTTCTGTGTTTGCTCTCTCTGTTCCCTGTTTGCCCTCTCTGTTCCCTGTTTGCCCTCTCAGCTGTGTATTTGTCATCTCTGTTCCGTGTTTGTTCCCTCTGTTCCCTGTGTCTGGTTCAGCTTCCATGCTTGCCCTGTGCTATGCAAATCCCACCCGGCCCTGTAAGACCAGTCCTCCTCTTTCTCCCTGACACTTCCTAGATCCTACTCAAGAGGTCTCCCATCTCGGCTCCTCTGGGTGACTTTGCTTGTTTCCTCTCCCTCTCCAGCTCAGCCCCCCATGGCCTAGACCAGGGCCCCCACCCCAGGGAGTCCCTGTGGCTGTTCCTTTCATTTCATCCAGCTGGGTGCACAGTGGCCCGCTCTGCCCATAGGGTGGCCCCAGGGTCCTGTCCAGTGAGGTCAGGGTCCCTGGGAAGTCATGGAGTGTAAGGCAGAACCCCTCCCTGAGTCCAGGTGGCCCAGTAGAAGGGGGCTTGGAGGAAAGTGTGGGGGCTCTGGGGCCTTTAAGCCTCAGCTCCCTGCCTGGCAGGAGAGCCTTCCCCAGTGGTGTCTGACTTCTCCTCCATCACAGGGGACTAAACATCCTCTCCTGGCAGCGCTCTGGGGGGTGGTGAGTGACTGGGGGGGCCTGGCTGAGCAGCCTATCCTCCCCTAACAATGAGCCACATTGTCCTTCCCACAGGAGGGGCTCATGCAGGGCTGGGCCACCAGGACCCCAACATCTGCCCAGCTGGCCTGTGTGAGGTTCCTTCCGATCTGTCCTCAGCCTGGTGGAGAGGGGAGGAGGATGGAGACGGGGGAGGGAGGAGAGAGGGAGAGGAAGGACACTTTGGCCTCTGGAGGTCCTTCTGCCATGGATGCAGGTGGCTGAGGGGACCTTAAGGCCACACAGGAGAAGCTGCGGGCTGGTGCCCAGGCCTGGCTGGCAGGACCTGTGCCCAGCCCCCGGGACCTCCCAGCCCTTTCCGAGCCCACACAGTCTGTGTCAGCCACCAGAGCCCCCACCCACACTCACGACCATTGTTAATTAAGACTGTCTGCATTATAGGGCTAATTAACAATTAGCATAAACATAATTAGCCAGCGCTGACATTTAACTCATTACATTGTTTAAATAATTTTCGGAAATTGCCCCAGCGGCATTCTGTCAGCTCGCAATAAAGGCGCCACTTTGTCATGTAAATTAAATGACATTTGTGTTGTTGCTGTCCCACCGTGGGAGACGGTCGGCCACATCCCACCCTCGAGGCCTCCCGGTGCGATCTGGCACTCGTCCTGGTCCTGCCCCCACCCCCAACTGGTGGCGAGGTGGTGCAGCGGGAGCCCCCAGGCCGGGCTGCCAAGAGAACTCCAGGCCAGAGGACAGACCCGGGCTAGCCCTGCAGTCCCGGCCTCTGCCCCCCAGGACCCTGGCAAAGGAAGTTCCTGCAACCAGTGGGCAGCGTGGATCCCAGTCTCAGGACTGAGGGAGATCCTGGGTGTCGGAGAACGAGGAACCGAGGTCTGGGCCTGGAGAAGCCTGTGGACTCCACTTCCAGTCAGTTCCAGGCATCAGTGACAACCAGGACGTCCTGGACACCTGGCCGAGTGGCTTCTCCCTCAACCTCCCATGCGGACCCCCATCTCTGAGTGGCCCTGGGGCTGGGGTCCTGGAGGAGGTGGCCGTCACCTGTGGGGAGCTGCCCAGCCAGCCCCGCCCTGCTCTGGGGAGTCCTGGTCAGCAAGGGACCCTGATGACTAGGCCCTACGGCGACCCCCTCAGCCCCAACTTCCAGCAGCCCCTTCCTCTCCCGCAACTCCCCACCACCTTATGTCCCCGACTTCAACCCAGACACGCAGCCCCAGGATCCCTGGCTATCCCTGGGGTGGGGACAGCCCGCAGCCCAGCCAGTAATGGGCACAGAGCTGATCCAGGGGCACGAACATCAAGGTGCTTCCCCTTAACCCTGCCACTGAGTTCACCTCCACAGCGTTCACACTGACTGACTCTCCTCTCTCCCCGACGTCTGCACCCCAGGGCCCCAAATGCCCCCCATCAGACAAGGCCGACTTGGGGCAGCTGGAGGTTGGGTCTGAGCTCAGAAATGCTTCCCACTGTCTCTGGCTCTGGCCAGCCAGATGGGCACTCATGTTCACTCACTCAGCTACTCCTTCCTTCCCACCTTCCTTCCCTCCTCCCTCCTTTTTTTGTTAGTTCTCTCATTCATTCATTCATTCATCCATTCTCTCATTCCTTCCTATGTACTTTTTTTTTTTTTTTTTTTTTTTTTTTTTTGAGACTGAGTGTTGCTCTCTCACCCAGGCTGGAGTGCAGTGGTGCAGT
This sequence comes from Homo sapiens, assembly GCF_000001405.40. NCBI lineage: Eukaryota > Metazoa > Chordata > Mammalia > Primates > Hominidae > Homo > Homo sapiens. The sequence continues at coordinate 35,373 of NW_021159990.1, forward strand.
CTCGGCTCACTGCAACCTCCACCTCCCGGGTTCAAGCAATTCTCCTGCCTCAGCCTCCTGAGTAGCTGGGATTACAGGCATGCACCACCATGCCCAGCTAATTTTTGTATTTTTAGTAGAAACAGGGTTTCACCATGTTGGCAAGGCTGGTCTTGAACTCCTGACCTGAGGTGATCTGCTTGCCTCGGCCTCCCAAAGTGCTGGGATTATAGGCCTGAGCCACCGCACCCGGCCCCTTTGTGCTTTTGTTCAACCAATGGACAGCAGCTGTGGGCAGGGCTCAGCACAGCCCCCAGGCCTCCCTACCACTCGATCCTGACTGCCTGGGTGGGAGCCTTGCCTCACCTCCAGGGACAGGCACTGGTCAGCACTGGTTCCACCTGCCCCCCAGATGTCCTCTGCTGTGTTCATCCCGCAAGGCAGGCCTGGCCTTGCTCTGTGAGGTGGCAGGACGCCCTTTGCTGTGGGGCTCTGGGTGTCCACCTACTCTGGGTTGGGCCAGGTGAGCCCCAAGGCCCCTCTCACAGAAGGTGTGTGGACCCTTGACAAGGCCAAACGGGTCTCCCACCACCTACTCCCACTGGTAAGTACCCGCTGAGGGAATAGAGAAGGCAAACAGGGAACAGAGAAGGTGAACAGAGAACAGAGAGGGTGAACAGAGGGAACAGAGAGGGTGAACAGAGAACAGAGGATGAACAGAGGGTGAACAAGGAACAGAGAGGGTGAACAGGGGACAGAGAGGGTGAACAGGGAACAGAGGGTGAACAGAGCGGGTGCTGCTCTGTTGCCCATGACAGCGACGAGGCAGCGTCTGAGAGTCTCCAGCCCTGAGAATGATGATCAGAGCCTCAGATGAAGTCTGAAACTCCAGACGTGGCGGCCCACCACCCCCCTCCTTCCCCGTGCTTCCCAGACAGGGCAGAGTGGCCCACAGTGCCCGGGACGGCTAAATCAAATGGCCCCGAGAGTTGTGGGGCCGGTTCTGGCTGTTAAGTGCTTGTCAGCGCCCACAGGCCCTCTCACGACTCTATAAAATTCCCAAGAATTATAGGAGTGCCAGGGTCACATAATTCACTGCACAGTAGATTTCACCTGGCGGCCAGTAATTCATATTTGTGGCGATAATATTGTTTTCCACTTTCTAAGAGTTATCGCCGTGTCTCCCTTCCAGGTCACTATGGATATCAAAAATCAATTTGGAAAGATGGATACTGTCAGGGAATAAAGCATGAAGGCAGAGGCTGCCCTCTCGCCTCCATCCGTGCTCCTGAACCTTGGCGGGGGGCTCTGATTGCTTGCCGGGACTTGACTGGGAAATCGCCAGGGATTGTTCGCTTGCAAGGGTCAACTTCTCCCAGGAGGCTTCCCTCCCGCCCCGCCTCCCTCCAGTCCCAGCCTGCGCGATGCCGGCGGCCTCTGCATCCCGGTCCTGAGCACACTGGGGGTGACCTGACCTCGGTCTGTGCCCGGGGGGATCCGGGGGTCTTTGGAGGCTGCTCTCCGACTCCAAGTGGGGGGAGAAGCTGCTACCCAGGACCCCACTGAGCTGGCCCGAGGCTACCGGGCAGCCCCCAGTGGCCACCCACTGGGCTTCATGATACTGGATGTGGATTAAGGAATATTGATGTTTGCTCGTCACGGAGGACACACTGTGCACGTGTGGGGTCTCCAGAGGAAGGAGAGGCCCAGTCCCTGTGCTCAGGGCCCAGGTGCACACACACGTTGTCCCCCAGCCAGGGAAGGCCCCGAGACACTGTGTTCCAGCCACAGGGAGAGAACAGAATGTGCGCCATGTCCTATGCTGCTCCCGTCACTCCTGAGCCCGTCCCAGCTCAGAGGAGCCACACTCAGGGGAGGCGGGTGTCAGATCAGAAAGCACTGGAGTCCCCTGCGAATGGAGCGTGAGAAGGGGCTTGAGGTTTGATGTTCCAGCCCTGGAGCTGGGGAAAAGGAAAGGAGGCTTGGAGAAGGACCCCCGCCCCCAGCATCCTCCAGCCAAGGGCTGGCGGCAGCGTTTCATTGAGACTGCAGAGTTATCACGTCGCCCCCCCACAAGCCCCGCGTGGGTCAGTGTCCAGCATCCGCAGAGGACAGCCTGGTGGGCGGCCCCCGTGGGGCTGTGTACACAGGCGGTGGGAGTGGATGGAGCGTGAGCCAGCCAGGGAGCCAAGGCCTCCACCAGTGTGGGGGGTGGTCGTCTGTGTGCTGGTGGCGGGCTATGCAGGCGTGTGTGGGGAGTGCAGGTGTGTGTGGGAGGGTGTCAGGTGTGTGGGCATGTGTTGCTGGTTGTGAACCTCCCAGGGGCTGTAAGCGTGTGTTTTGGCAGCTCTCTGAAGCCCCTTGTGTGGGCTCCACATTCTGCTTGCAGTTGGGGTCCTGGGAATAAGCCGGGCCTTGTGGCGGCCGTGCTGGCAGGGCCTGAGAGGGCTCCGGCAGGGCCCCCTGGGTCAGGAGCCCAGAGCTGTCCTTCCCTCCGGCTCTCAGAGGGGCCAGCTCCTGTAGCCTGCAGCCAAGGCCGCAGAGCCTCCCCCGTGGGCCCCCAGCCTTTTCTCTCCTCCCTGGCCGCCGGCTTCCTGCGTACGCTCCAGCCACGCTGACCTCATCCCTGCCTGCTTCGGGCCTCTGCACATGCCATCTGCAGGGAGCACGAGACCCACAGCTGTGTGGAGCTCACTGCTCCCTTGCTGCGGCCTCAGCTCCAAGTCACTTCCTCAAAGTGGCCCCCATGCCGACCGAGCTGAACCGTTGCCCCCTCCTCGCCAGGCAGCCTGCCCTCTCCCGTCTGTGCCCCTCTCTCCCACCAGATTTCTGCTGCAGGAAGGCAGCGACTCAGTGCCCACAAAGCTTCATGAAATAAGTGCAGGAGTGGGGCTGGGGTCCCAGCTTTGTCTGGGCCTGGGTTCAAACCCAAGGATCTCTGTTGGAGGCAGTTTCTGGAAACCCAAGGTCCAGTCGGCGCGTACCTGATTCACCACTGTCGGTCTCTGGACCCCTGTGCTGTGGGCAGGCCCTGGGGGGTGGCTGGTGGTTGTGGGGTGCACCGTGTCCCCAGGCATCCCCAAGGGAGGGGGCAGCCGCAGCCCCCTGACCCCGTGGCCGACACGGCTCCCCCACCCCTGGTCCTCCTGCTGCCAGGCCTTCTGCCCCCTCCTACCTCGGGTGTCCCCTCCCCAGCCCCTGCCCTCCCTCCCCGGAGGGCCCCTCAGGCCCCTCACTCCTGCCACTGCCTCTGCAGGATCCAGTGTTCCCCCAGCCAACCCGAGAAGACCAGAAGGCCCTGGGAGACCCGAGGGAATGTGGGTGAAGGTTGGGATTTCTGCACTGTGCAGGACGGGGAGACACAGAGGCCCCGGAGTGCGGCTCAGGGGGCGCCGGCAGCCCCACAGCGTCAGCAGGAAAGGAGGCCATGGACACCAGACTGCCTGGCTGCTCCTTCCCTCTTCTGGGCGTCTGATTGCCCAGGGTGGGAGAGGTGGACAGTTAATTAAAAAGCAGCTAATAGCGGCCCTGGGGTCGGCTGCGTGGGTGCTGGGGATATTGGCCCATGGATCACTGTCCTGTGATTGCTGCTCGTGCCCACCCCGAGGGGTGAGGGTCCCTCTGGCTGGTCAGCGCGCCGGCTGCCCCCGCACCCTGAAAGGAATTTAATTCAGGCTACATTTAATTAGGAAAAGAGGGCTTACGGAGGATCATGAAGTTGAAACCTCTTTTAAGAATGGAAATAAACTCTTTCCTGGTCCTCGGCAAGCCAGACAGAGACCCTCAAAGTCAGGTGTCATCGGGCACTGGGTGGCCCGTAGGCTGTGTGGGAGGAAGGCCAGAGCTGGGCTGTTAGACGTCCTTGGTGAACCTGCCGCTGAGTGGAGGTGAGGGGCGGGTGGCCTGGCCGAGCCCAACCCTTCGCCTTCTGATTGGTGGGCAGTGTCCCCGCAGGGCTGGCTGGGGCCACCTCCCTCTGCCAGCATCAGGTCCTTACGTATCAGGATCCGAGGGCCTCTGGTCCTGCTCCCCCCACCCTCTGGGACTCACCCGTTGAGCCCACACCAAGGGTGGCCTGTGTCAGCTCTGCCTCCGGCTGGACCCTGACGGACACAGGAATTGGCTGTCTCCTGTGGGTCACCAGGCTCCGTGCTGGGTCCCAGGGCACAGGCGGTTGACTCCAGCCCCTGCTGCAGGCTGTCTTGAAGAGGATTCTGAGCAGCTGGGCAGGGAGGGAGCTCTGAGCGGGAGTGGAGAGGCTGGGGTGGAAGGGCCTCAGGTGGAGCCTCTCCCAGGCTGCAGCGGCCTCCCCAGGTTGGTGCTGTGGTCCCCACCCCACCACATGGGACAAGCCCTGCAGGCCTGAGGCCAGGCCAGGGCCTAGCAGAAGCCAAAACTCACACACATGGGTGGAAATGTAACAGTTTACATCCAGAAGGGGCCTTTCCCTTAGGGGCTGTAGCCAGCGGGCAGCTCCTGCCTCACCCCTGCCCCTGCCCTCTAAGCCTGCTCTCTGGACTAAAGCCGGACCTGGCAGCCAGACTGTGCGGTGCTGGGGAGGAGACGCCGGGCACTGTGGTGGAGGGGGCCAGGAGAAGGGATGTCAGAGGGCGGGGAGATCTGTGGGGGCAGCCTCAAAAACAGCTGGACAGACAGCCCAGTGCAGGGGGAGCCGCCGAGGCCTTGAGGGAGGAGACTGGGCCAGAGCAAGGGGCAGGAGAGGGAGGATGCGTCCGTGGTGGTGACCAGTGAGAAGGTCCCTGAGTGGCCAGGCAGACTCGGCAGGGGTCCCCCAGAGTGGACAAGTGGGCGGGGCCGAGGTCTGTTTTGGGGACGAGGAGGACAGGGCAAGCCGCGCAACCTTGAGTATGAGGACCACTCTCATCTGTAGAAGGAGCACTGTGGTCCCTGCCTCACAGGGTGCTGAGGAGGAGGAGGCGGGGAGGAGCCCAGTGTGGCCTCAGCCCCTGGGGGCATTTCCAATCCTGCCTCTGGAGCTCGGCCACCCCGAGCTCGGCCCAGCACCCCAGCTCTGCTCCCTGCAGACTCTCCTGCCCTGGCTCCGTGCTGCTTTCTCTGTCTCTCCAGGCCCCATCCTCTAACTGTGGGCACCCGGTGCTGCCCTGACCCCTCCCTGCCCTGTCTGCACTCATCCCTCATCCACACATTGAGGACCCCAAGTGGGTGCCTCCAGCTCCACTGGCTCTTCTGAGCTTGATGACCCCCACGGCTGGCCCCTCACCCTCACGTCAGTGCCCCCCACCACCCCATCTTCACAGACCTCTCAGTCTCTGTCCTTGGCGTGTTTCTGGAATCCACTCATCTGCCCCCACGGCCTCCCAGGGCCTGGTCCCTGCACCTGCCACGGCCTCCTCGGGGCCCTCCCGCCCCACTGCCCACACCCTGTGCCAGCTCCTTCCCAGTTTGCTCCAAGTGCAGCAGGCCGGCCTCCCTGCCTTGGTGTGGGCTCTATGCCGTTCACTTCCTGGGCCCCAGAGCCCAGGACAGGACCCTGCAGGTGGGTGCCCCTCGGTGCCCACCCGCTAAGCAGTGAGCAAGGGCCCTGAAGCTTGTGTGGTCCAGAGAGTCCACGCGTGGCCACTGAGTGCCACCCTGGGACTAGGGACAGGATGTGGGGTGGCCGCTGGGGAGGGGAGTCCAGTGCTCCACAGGGACTTACTTCACCTTCCATGAAGTTAAAGGTGGAGTGGGGAAGGCAGAGGTCCCTGGCCGGGGTGGGGAGAGTGGGCAAAGGATACCGGCCCGGGTGGGGAGAACCCTTTCTGATCCTCCTCACAGACCCCAGGCCCCACCTGGGGGCTTCTGTCCATTGGCTTCGGAGCTGCAGCCTGAGACCTTGGCCTCACGGCCCACTCTGGAGTCCCCCCACTGCAGCCTCCCCCCTGCCCCACCTCCGCCACACACACAATCACCTCTGGGACTGTGGCTGTTTCCAAAATTCCTGGGACCCAGGGAGGCCACAGCACTGGAGGACAGCCACCAGCAGGTGGGAAGCGGGCTTGGCCGGGGCGCTGCCCGTCCCGCCCCATTGGTTCGTGTGCAAGCAGCTCTTGAGTCCACCCCTCCAGGGGCCTGCAAGTTCATTTGCTTGTCTTACACCTGGCAGCCCTGAGCACTGAGGCTTGATGAGGCTAAGGAGAGCTGGAGGAAGACCCTATTGATTTTAATTACCCAGAAACAGCCCACAGGGACAAAGGACTTTGGCAGTTTATTTAGCCAGGCTGCGCTGCGCTATTGTGGAAGGAGAGGTCAAATCAGCCGCCCTCATTATAACTATAATAATAAGGCCAAAACGCTGCTCGGGGCTGAGGGCCTTTTTTTTTTAAAGCAATAACCTCACTGCCCCACCCCCTCACGCCCCTCTTCAGCAGGCTTGAACAACCAGGAGCAATTACATGCTGTCGATATTAATTCAATTAAATCCAGGTTATTTATTGGGTATTATGGAAAAGGATTCTCTGGCCTTACAGAGATGGGGCATGACTGAGGGAGTGAGCAGGATACAGAAGCCTCAAGCAGAATTGACTGTGGGCATGGGCCAGAAAATCAGCACATCTCCAGGAGGAAGGTAGAGAGCGTAGGGCACTGTGGGGGCTGCTTGCGTGGCATTTCTTCTGGGACTGGTACAGAAGAAGATCAGAAGGTGTTTGAGTGTTTGAACCCTTCTAAAAAGTGGCCTTGTAGAAGACCGAGTGGCCTTCAGCAAGTCATTCAGTGCTTCTCTTTACCTTTGACTTTGCAGCTGAAAATTGGTTTTGGATGATGATGATGATGATGATGATGATGATGACAGTCATGGTGGTGATAAAGGAGATAACGAAAGGGTTGATGGCAGTGACAATAATGGTGATGATGATGGATGATTGTGAAGATAATGAAGAAGATCATCATTGGGTTGACAATAGTGACAATGGTGATGGTGATAATGGTGTTGATTGTGATGATGGTGGTGATGATGGTGATTATGGTGATGGTGATGATGATGGTGGTAGTGATGATGGTGGTGATGGTGATGATGATAGTGATGATGATGGTGGTGATGGTGGTGATGATAGTGATGATGGTGGTGATGGTGATGGTGGTGGTGGTGATGATAGTGATGATGGTGGTGATGGTGGTGATGATGGTGATGATGGTGGTGATGGTGGTGATTATGGTGATGATGATGGTGGTAGTGATGATGGTGAAGATGATGGTGATGGTAATGATGGTGGTGATGGTGATGATGATGGTGGTGATGGTGGTGATTATGATGATGGTGATGGTGGTGACCATGGTGATGACGATGATGGTAGGGATGATGGTGATAGTAATGGTGATGCTGCTGCTGATGGTGATGGTGATGGTGATGATGATGGTGAAGATGATGGTGATGGTGATGATGATGGTGACTGTGATGATGATGATGGTGATGGTGATGATGATGGTGACTGTGATGATGATGATGGTGATGGTGATAATGATGGTGGTGGTGATCGTGGTGACCATGGTGATGACAATGGTGGTGATGATTGTGATGATGGTAGGGATAATGATGATGATAGTGATGGTGATGGTGATGGTGATGCTACTGATGATGGTGATGATGATGATGATGGTGACGTTGATGATAATGGCGATGTTGATGATAATGGTGATGATTATGTTAATGCTGACAGTGATGATGCGATGCTGCTGCTGATGGTGGTGATGGTGGTGATAATGTTGGTGGGGATGGTGTGAATGATGATAATAATGATGGTGATAGTGATGATGGGGATGATGATAATGGTGATGATTATGGTGGTGATGATGGGTGAATATGAGCAATGATGATGTGAGAGATAATGGGAAAGACATCTGCCTTGCTGACATCAAACTGTTGCCATTAGATTAAATGGGATAATGGGTTTTTGAAACCTTGGTAGAGCACACAAGTACAAGAGGCTGTGAATGAAATAGGAGACACCAGGTGGAAGGCCACGGATGAGCATCAGTGCCTGTGGCAGGAGGGCCATAAAGGACCCCACATTTGGCGCCCAACCTTAAAGGGAGAGCAGGCCACCGGTACTGGTGACACCTTCCACTCTAGGCTGAGAATGCAGGGTCCAGAGGAGGCCCCCAGTGGCTGTCAATATCAAGGGACAGAGAAAAGTGCCTGCTGAGTGCCCACTAAGGGCTGGGCACTGTGCAAAGAGAGCTTTACCCATTTAGTCCTCACAATGACCCTTGGGGCTAGGGACATTTCAGGGACCTGGTTCTCCTGGATAATTCCTGTCCACACTGGCTGACCAGGCATCGTTTTTACACACCTGCTTCCACTCTTTCCTTTGGATGATAGAGCGCAGGCCACCTCAGCAGTGGGAGTTTCGCCCCTATTTTACAGATGCAAGCACTGAGGCTCCCAGAGGTGGAGGCTGTGGAGCTAGGTCTGCGGATGGCTCTAAGCGCTGCACCCTGCTCCTGCTGAGTTTCGGGCTGACTGGCAAGGGGGGAAGGTTCAGGGTCTTGGGACCCTGAAGGGCATTGCAGAGCCCTGCTGCCTGGCTTTGAGGAGGCCCCCAGGGTAGGGAGTGGAGATCACAGGGGGCTGGCCCCTGTTTGATGACATGGCTGGGACTGACATAAGATTCTCAGTGGATTCAAGTGACCTCTGAACATCAGGGTATAGCTGTGGGTACCCCAAAGGGCCATGAGAAGGGTAGGAGGCTTGGAGGGGAGGTGGTGGGAGGTGGGCAGAAGCTGTGGGCCTAGGGACCAACCAGAGATTTTGCCAACACAGTGGGCACACCAATGTCCTGTGGCTGCCATAACAAAGTGCCCCAACCCGAGGGGCTAACAATGCCAGAAGTGCGTCCTCTCACAGGCTGGAGCCCAGAAGCCTGAAACCCAGGTGCTGGCAGAGCTACACTCTCTGCAGTCTCCAGGGGAGGACCCTTCCTGCGTCTCCCCAGATTCCTGGGCTGCTGGCCTTCCTGGATGCCATCCTCTTGGCTTGTAGCAGCACACTCCACCTGCCTCTGTCTTCACATGGCCATCTCCCTGCGTGGGTGTCTCCGTGTCTCTGTTTTCTCTTCTTACAAGGACACCAGTCATTGGATTAGGGCCCGCCCTACCCATGTGACTCCATTTTACCTTGAGTACATCTGCAAAGCCTGTTTCTGAATGAGTCACACTCATGGGTACTGATGTACAGGAATTTCAGAGGGATGCTGTTCCACCCAGTGCACTACAGCACACAGGCCTGCAGCCAGTGGGCCGGGGGCCGCGGCACCTACTGCCAGAGCTGCTGGGTGGCCTGGTGGCCAGTCGCTGGTGACCCTTCCCAAGGCCACCACCCTCGTGTCCATGCCTGACCGCGCCCTGCATGCTGACAGTGTCCTGGCCCTGACTCACAGCCAGAGCCCAGTATCATCAAGACGCTGGTGGCGGCCACGACCCCAGGGCTGTGCGTGTTGCCTCTGGCTCCTGAGGCGGGCTCCGCGGCCTCATGCTGGACACCGTGTCTAACCGGCCAAGATTGACCTGTTTGGGGCTCCTCACTGCAGCTGAGCGATTTGATCTGAGACCCAGACAGCAGTCAGGGCAGTAATTGGATGTTATGAGATCGGAGGGCCACTCTCCGAGGAGGGGGCAGCTGAGCGGCCGTGGGCAGCTGGAGGAGGGGGCTGCGGCTGGCAGTGGGGGTGGGGCAGCCCCTGTCCGCTGGAGATAAGCCCCTCATCTTCAGCCCCTAATCTCCTGCTGGGGTCATGGACAGAGCCCGAGGCAAGATGGAATGAATATGGCCACTGTCCAGCCACTGCCTGGCACTGCTGCCCCGAGGGTGCTGTACAATTAGTTTTAAATATCAATTTCACGGCTGCTCAGGGGAGAGAACAAGCAGGCAGGCAGGCTTCACCCAAAGCAAACCAGGTGTTTCCTACAGGCTTCAACTTTGTAAGAAAAGGCAAAAGCCATCAAGGACATGTCCAGCTGAGCTGACGCCAATGCAACTTCTCTGGGTCCTTCAAAAATCGGCCCCAAGTCCCCCACACTGCTCCTCCCCTGGACCTGCTCCATCCTGACCCCAATGCTGTAACCAGCCCTCCTAGCACCCTTGTCCCTGCGAATCCCTCTCAGGCTCTGTCTCCTCCTCCAGGAACCCCTCGCCGAGAGCTCCTTCTCAGACCCCAGGCCCTGGCGTGGGCCCAGCTCTGCCCAGGCTCCAGGCCAGTGCTTCTCCTTCCCCCGGAGACCCGGCCAGCCCAGCCCTACTGCCCTCACAGGCAGCTCTAGCTGGCCAGGTGGGGATGTGTCTAGGAAGCAGGAGGGGCCGAGGCCTGGGAGGGTTTGTGGGAGTGGGTCAGGGCATCTGCTGGGACCAATGCTGACCATGGGTAGAGGACCCGAGGGCACCGCCCAACAGGGCAGGAGAGTGAGGCACAGGGGTTAAGATGGCGCTGGAAGTCAGGGGAGTGAGGCCTGAGAAGGCCCCAAGGAGGAAGGGGCTTTAACTCTGACTTTAAAACAGGGGCCAATCTGGCTAGGAGGAGGGGTGGTGAAGGGGCCCTCTTGTGGGGTCCCTCATGAGCAGGGGACAGGGAAATCCTGGGGAGGTTCCCCAGGAGGGCAGCTCCCAGTGTCCCCACCCAGCTGTCTGACTCCACATGGCCAGCGTCACCCATCACACCCCGGCCAGACCTGGGGCTGGCTGAGCTGTCAGGGCGCAGAGGGTGGGTGTAGTCCCAAGTGGACGTCACTGCTGAGCTTGGCAGGGCGCATGTGGTTCCCAGAGGGACTCACTATTGGGCCTGGCAGAGTGGGCGTGGTCCTGAGTGGGGCTCACTGCTGAGCCTGGCCAGCCCCTTCTGGAACCAGGTGGCTGATCCCTGCAGGAGCTCATCGCACACAGCCAGTGCCTGCACCTCGGGCGCTCTAGAGGGGTTTATTGAAGAAAGGAACTTGCACGCATCAGGCATTCGCCCTCTCAGTCAGGCGCAGCTGGACACCTCGGGTGGGGACCGTGTGGGGAACACGGCTGCGCTCCGGGCTCCGGGCGGCTCCTTGGCGCCGGCTGGCCGGGTGGGCTTTCCATGGACCCCACGCAAGCTCCCTGCCCGGTGTCTCGGGGGTGTGGGGGTTGGGGGAGCCGCCGGGGGCGGGGTCCCCGCCTGCCCAGGCCGGACCCATGTCAGCGGACGTCACTGCGGGAAGCGCGGCCGGCGGGGGCGACCCGGGGTCTGCGCGGCTCTCACCCGGTGGCGCGCCGCAGCCGCAGGCAATTTATCTCCGTCTCCCCGCTCTTAAAACACTTTTATCAAAATTGGCGGTCACACCGCGCTGAACCGTGGTGGCCTCAATCTTAAACGCCGCGCTGCAGATTTTAATTTGGGGAAGATTAATGCGCTCGCGGCGTCGGCGGCGCCGCGCCCGTTATCGCGCCTGACGGGTGTCAGCGGCCACCGCGCCCCGTGTCCCGCGGGGCAGCCGGAGCCCGGGTGAGTGTCGGGGCCGGCCGGGCCTGCCCTCCGTCCGCTGCAGGCTTCACGCGTCCTCCCGCCCCCAAGATCTCGCACCCGGGGCTCGGCGTCCAGCCCCTGCGGGCATCTCCACTCCGCTGCTCCAGCTGGGACCCCGGCCCACCCCGCACGAGCCGTCCCCCGAGGCTGGGACCCCCCCACTCCTGGTCCCACCCGGGTGGCAGCTCCTCCCGGCTCCACCTCCCGGATCTCCCCAGAGGTGCCCCCAGCCCCGCCGCGCTCCTGCTGTCTGGCTGCGCCTGTCAAGACCCGCAACCCCTCACCCTGACCTCCATTCGCTGTTCTCCACCAAGACGCCAGTCTGGTCAGCGAGTCTGGTCAGCCTCGCCTCTTCCCTGCGGTGCCTGCAAGGCCTCCGAGCCCTCTGGTCAAGCCCACCCTGCCCGGCTGCTCCTCCACCTCCTCTTTTGGACCGGGAAGGCTCCTCCTCAGGTGGCCACGCCGGGATCCCCGTCAGGCTCTCGCTGTCACCTGGGCGAGGAGGCCTCTCCTGACCTCTGGATTAAACTCTTGGCCCCCTCCCCCCAATCCGTCTCTGTCCCCTCCTTTGCTTGCGTTTGTTCCCAGCAGCCACTGACATGCCCATGGGATCTGTCATCCCTCTGTCTCCTACTAGATAGGGGAGGCCCCAGCTCCTGGAGCAAGAGGGCAGGCAGGTGCTAGGAAGATCTGCACACCCCCACCTGTCACACTCCCACCTGCCACACCCCCACCGCCACACCCCCACCTGCCACACCCCCCAACTGCCACACCCCCACCTGCCACACCCCTCACCTGCCACGCACCCCCACCTGCCCACTCCCCACCTGCCCACCTCCCACCTGCCCACTCCCTACCTGCCACATCCCCACCTGCCACAACCCCCACCTGTTCACTCCCCTCCCCACCTGCCTGGCCCCCACCTGCCACACACCCCCACCTACCACACTCCCCACCTGCCACACCTCCCACCTGCCACACCCCCACCTGCCACACTCCCACCTGCCACACTCCCACCTGCCATACCCCTCACCTGCCACGCACCCCCACCTGCCCACTCCCCACCTGCCCACCTCCCACCTGCCCACTCCCTACCTGCCACATCCCCACCTGCCCACCCCCCACCTGCCCACCCTGCCACCTGGAAATGGGATGGCTGCCAGGCCAGGGTGGGCGGGGTGCAAAGGAGATGACAGCCTGGCCTGCAGTGGGTGGAGAAGAAGGGCCAGGAGGAGGCAGCCACTAGGGTGGAGGACTGGGTGGGTAGGGGGAGGTCAGAAGGTCAAGAGTTGGTGGGGGCACCCTCTTGCGCACTGGCCAGTAAAGTGGACTGCTCAGGATTCTGGACCCACCCTACCCTCACCCTGGAACAGCAGCACCTGCTGCTGGCAACTCTGCCACCCCGATGACAGCAGGGCCTCCCCAGTGCTCCCGCACCGCCCCGGCCTTCCTCCCTGTCTCCTCTGGGCGGGAGCCAGCCACAGGCAGCAGGACAGGGGGAGCATCAGGGGACCTCCAGCCCTGACCCAGGAGCACAGGCCTGACCGACAAGGCTGGAACTCTCAGCCCAGCAGCTCCATATGGCCAAGTGCCCACCTTCCCTGGCACCACAGAATCCACTCCCGTGGGACCTCAAAGCATAGCTGCATTTTGTCCTATTATTTAAAAATAGTGAGCATGGGAACCATGCAGCTGAGGTGTACTACTGACTCCCGTCCATTCGTTCATTCATTTGTTCAGTGATATTCATTGAATTCTGCTACTGGGGTTGCCTCGGGAGCAGCAAAAAGGCCCTGTCCCTGCCTGTGAGCCCTGGGTGGCAGCACACGGTGACCAGCGCTGAGGAGAAGGGGCAGAAAGCTAGCAGTGCAGGGCTCCGGGCGGGTGGGAGGAAAAGGTGCCCCGGGCAGAGGGCACTGCGGGCACCAGCAGTAGGTGGTGGGGCAGCCACGGGGCTGAGGGGCTCTGGAGGCTGCTGGGCTGAGCAGGGAAGATGAGAGGCCCTGGGGGGCATGAGGCTGGGCCATGGAGAGGATGGGAAGGGTAGCATCCACACAGAGAAGAACATGCCCAAAGTGGCCTTTGCTGAGGCTGCTCTGGCTGTGGGGTGGAAGCAGGTGGGACAGTGAGAGGCCATGCAGAGGCCCCTTCATTGGTTTAGGCCTGGCCCAGGGTGTGCAGATGGGAGAGCTGTTCACCATGAAATGGTGCCCTGGTGATGGAGGGGTGAGGGACGGGGGAGGACTCTTAACTGCTGGCCTGAGTGCAGGAGCTTGGGGAGTACTTTGCCAGGATTGGGGCAAGTGAGGGGGAAGGGCAGGCATCCAGGCCTGGGCATATTCCACTGGGCAGGCGTGGGCAGGACCGTCTCATCCCCCAGTGTCCCTAGAGGTGCAGGAGGGACCCACCAGGGGAGCCAGGCATGTGCTCTTCACCTGGCTGGGCACCAGCAGGGAAGGCAGGAGGTACCAGAGCAAGAAGCCAGATCTGCAGGGTACAGGACAGCCCCAGAGGACTACCTTCACGGATGGAGGGAGGGCAGAGCTTCCCCAGGTGGGCCCAGCAGAGCGGGTGGGCCATGGCCTGAATGCACCCGGCCGCTGCTCACAGTCAAGATGCCTGGCACTTGCAGATACCCCCAGCCCTGCCCAGGGGTCCAGAGAGGGCTTCCTGGGGGAGGATGCCTGTGAAGGAGAGGGAGCTCACCAGAGTAAGAACTGGGGAAAGGATGTCTAGGGGCAAGGACAGGAAGGTCAAAGGCAAGGAAGGACGAAAGCAACACGCTGGCATGACTGCTATTGGAGGGCGAGGGCACACAGGGTGCGGAGGTGGTGCAGGAGCTGTTGGGGCTTCAGCCTGTGCTGAAGGCTGAGCTTTACCGTGAAGTGACAGGAGCCACTGAGGGCATCAAGCAGGGTGACTGGTCACATCCGTGGCTTAGGACCCCCTGCTGGTGTGTGTCAGGAGAGAAGGTGGGGGCAGCCTCATGGGGAGGTCACATAAAGCCAGATTCACACCTTGTTGCTCCTTGGCTCTCAGCTTCTGATGCCTCTTGTGTTACCCAGGGAAGGGATCAAGACCTTCTATGGTCCTGAGACCATGTCCCGTGCTCACCCCCCCAGTCACCTGGCCCCCGGGCTGCTTCTCTAACAGTCCTCGAAGCTCCACATCACACTGCCCTCACCTCCTCAGGCTGAGGCTGTAATGCTGCCCCTGTACCCCACCAGCTTTCAGCACCTGGCCCCTTTCCCTGCACTATTTTTTTCATAGTGTGTATTGACAAGACATGCTACATGTTTTCCAAATTTACGTTTTATTATCTATCTTGCCTACCAGCCTCACCTAAGGATGTGAAAAACCTGAGGGCTCCAAGCCCTGCCTGTCCTGTTCTGTGCTCAGCTCTGACATGTGGCAGGCACTCAGTGTGCACTTGCTGAGAGGATGAGAGGGTGGGTGGAAGGATGGATGATGAACAGGCGAATGGTGAGTGGATAGATGGGTGGGGAATGGATGGATGGTGGGTGGATGGATGGGGTGGGTGGATGGGGAATGGATGGGTGCATTGGTAGGTTGGTGGATGAATGGATAATGGATCAGTGGTGTGTGGATGGGTGGATGAATGTATAACTGATGGACTGATTGATAGGTAGATGAATGGATAGATGGATGATGAATTGGTGGATGATGTATAGATGATGGGTGAATGATGGATGGGTGGATTGATAGGTAAATAGATGGATGGGTAGGTGATGGCTGAGTGGATGAATGGATGGATGAATGGATGGAAGGATGATGGATGGGTGGGTAGATGGCTGGATGTGTGGATGGATGTATAGATGATGGAAGAATGATGGATTGATTGATAGGTAGATGAATGGATAGATGGATGATGATTTGGTAGATTATGTATAGATGATGGATGAATGATGTATGGGTGGACTGATAAGTAAATAGATGGATGGATAGGTGGTGGCTGGGTGGATGAATAGATGGGTGGATGATGGATGGGTGGGTGGATGGATGATAGATGAGTGGATAGATGGGTGGGTGGATAGATAGATGGATGGGTGGTGGGTGGGAGAGTGGATGGATAATAGATATATGAGTGGCTGGTGAGTAGATGGATATATAGATGATGGATGAATGATGATGGATGGATTGATAGGTAAATTGGTGGATGGATGGATGGATGGATGGATGGATGGATGGATGGTTGGGTGGGTGAGTGGGTCAGTGGATGGATTGGTGGTGGGTGGCTGGGTGGGTAGATGGCTGAATGAATGATGGATGGGTAGATGGATGGATGGTGGACAGATGACACATGGATGGATGGATGGGTGGGTGGGCGGATGACGCATGGGTGCTGAATAGTTGGGTGGGTTGGTGGGCAGATGGATGAGTGAATGATGGGTGGGTGGGTGGATAGATTGATGGGTGGGTTGGTGGCTGGGTGGGTGAGTGGATGGGTAGATGGATGAGTGGATGGATGGATGTATGGGTGAATGATAAATGGGTGGGTGGATGGTTGGGTGGGTTGGTGGGTGAGTGGGTGGGTAGATGGATGATGGATGTGTGCTGGATGGTTGGGTGGATTAGGGGGTGAATGGATGGGTAGGTGAATGGGTCACTGGGTGAGTGGATGGATGAATGGATGGGAAGATGGATGGATGGTTGAGTGGATGACGGATGGGTGGGTGGATGGATGGTTGCATGTGTGGATGGGTGGGTGGGGAGGTATCTATTCCCAGTTTCCCTGAAAGGTTCTCAGGGCCCATCCTTCCTTCTTGCACAATCAAGATCCATGTTTTCCTTGATGTCAAGGAAGGACAGTAACTGATGACTCCTCCCTAGCCCCATTATGGCCTGGCTCAGAGAAGAGGCACCAGCAAGATGGGCTTCCTGGCTCAGTGGAATTGGGAACCTTCAACTCACAGAAGAAGGCTCAGGTCCTTTGCCAGGAGTCAGTCCCATTGGCCTCATATCTCTCTCCCTCCCTCCCCTGCCCAGGCTGCTTGGCATGGCCCATATGCGCAGAGCCCTCAGTCTGGGCAGACACCTTTTCCTGAGCATGAGACCCACACCTGGAGGCCTTGTCTAGCCTCTGCCCACTGGCCCATCCGTGCCCCTCCAGGGGCTCTTAGAGGGGACGGAGTCAATACCAACATAGCCGGGTGACTTGGAGCCCAAGTGAGAGTTTCTCTGGGGCAGAAATACCCCCGCCCCAGCAGGACTCACCAGGTCCAGCTTTCCCTCAACCTCTCCCGAGGGGCCCAGGGAGCCTGGCCTCAGGGGCCACCTGCATGGCTGGTGAGATGTGTGGGGTACAGTGCAGTGTCCAGGTGATCCTGGTGGGCCCTCCTGACCTCCCCGGGTAGAGATTTGCACAAGCATGGCGGTGGGTCCTACCAGAACCAGTGAGGCCGTGGGCGGGTCCACCTGGGGAATGCAGGGTGAGCATTTTTTTGCCCAGGCTGGGTTTTTCTAGGTGTTCCTCCTGAATTCTGTCTTCTTTCTGCTTCCCTTGGGGAAGACGGCTTGGGCTATTCCCTCTCCTGGCTGGCTCTGGCTGGGTCAGCCACTCTGTGTCCCCATTGCTCACTGTCACTTGCTCTGAGGACCCTCTTTGCCATGACTCTGGAGGCCGGCCTGGGCCTGTATGAATCACTCTCTGGCTCCTTGTGTGGCCGGGAGAGGCCCATGCGGTCCCCAGGGCCCGGGAGACTGTTCAGCGGCCTCCTTCCCTCTGTGTGATTATGGAGTTCACAGACCAGTTGAGTGAATAGTTGGCCATGCCCGAGGCCTCAGCTTGCTCCTCCACAGTGCGGGTTCGATCCCAGGCCTCAGCTTGCTCCTCCACAGTGCAGGGCCCATCAGTAGGATTCTTGGTCTCAAATCACAGACACCACAGCTGTCTTGGGTCCCAGGTGATTATTGGAAGGGATGGTGCAAAAGGTGGGCAGCAGGCTGGGCTTGGATGGTCTGGGTCCCCAGCACTTCAGGGTCCATCTATCTGGCCTGGCTGCTGTTGCAATTTTACCAGGAACTGGTAGGGCACATCTAATTGAAGGAGATTAGTGCCCCCTGGGCACAGCCAGGGTGGGGGCACCAGGCCTCCAAGGTGGAAGGAGGATTGTTGGAAGTTGCTCTCATCCGGCACAGGAAAGGCTCTTTCCCCATGAACCCAGGTGGCTGCTGGGAGGAGGCAATGGCATCCAAGGGCTCCCTGGCCCTGGCACCCGGGCCTGATTCTCAGGCCTTCACACTCGGAACTCAGAAGGGACCCCTGCCCCACCTCCACCCCCACCGAAGGCCACCAAGATGCTTATGTTGGGAAAATGACGTCCAGCAAGAACCATGGGAGTCATACATGGACTTAACTTGGTGGAGAAAGCCCATTTGTGTCTTCCAAGATTATTCATGAAATCCCTACATACAATTTAAGAACCTAATAACTCATTAGAAGTGTAACAAATAATAGACTTGTAGGCTCAGCTAAAGCCCTTGACAGCTTAGCTCCCCTAGCCTGCCAAGAGCCAAGGGGTTGGGGCAGAGATGGCCCCGTCCCCTCATCAGAAGGCAAGGCCACCTTCAGAGTGGGGAGTTACCAAGTGTGGCAGAATCAGGCTCAGTGAAATGAATTCGGCATCTTTCAGGGAACAGAATCATTGAGCTTACAGACTAAATTTAACAGCCTAATAGAAATATGCAGGTGAAGGTACAATTAATTTTAATTACTAGACTATACATTGTTGGTTGCACAGCCATGAGTAAAATTAAAATGGCAATCACAATTAGAAAATTGCAACCTCATTGTGCAACAAATTAGTCACAAATTAAAAGTGCGGGGCCATTATGCCTTTCCTTATTGCTTTAGCTCCGTTCCTGCTCCAGGCGGCCTTTGTCCCTCAGGCCCATCCTCTGCCTGGGAATTTATCTCAGCTGAGATTACTGGCGCCATCCCAGGAGCATCTGCAGGAGCGGGAAGGGGGACTTCCTGTCACCATAGCCTGGGGCTGATTTCCCTTGGTGCTGGCTGTGTAGGGGCGAGGAGGACGTGTGAATTCACAGGGCAGCCTGGGAACCTAGCCCAGGTAAGGACGGGACCCCTCCCTAGGCCAACACCCCCTGGAAAGGCATGCAGCTGAGCCTCCACCCAAGGCCGACTCTTCACCCTTCCCTTCCAGGGCTCTTGTCCACAGAAGTGCTTGGCTTCCCCATCAGGAGCAGGGCTCTAAGGATGCCCTTTCAGGGGGCACAGCCTTGTCAAGGAGGGAGCCTACCTGGGTGGCTGCCAGCCCCAGCAGAGGAGGAAGGGACAGTTTAAGGCTGCCTTCAATGTCCTCCATGGCTTGGGGATGGATGGGGGTGCCCATTTAGAAAAAGAAGGAGCCACTGGTGAAAGGGAAGCCATCAGCCAATGGACCCCCCTCCTGGCTGCTGGCTCTGCCATCATCCACTTTCCAATCAGTCCCTATTTAGGGCACCTCTTACCCACCTAGGCCTGAGAGAACGGGTGGCATAGGGCCTACGGAGAGTCTTCAGAGACTGGCTCCTAACTTCAGGGCAGATGTGGCCTTGCTCTGCCAGAGAAGCTGCCAGACAAGCTCCAAACTGCCCCCAAACCCAATCCCAACCTCCAGGAGGGGACTGCCCCTGCCTTCAGTGGAATAGAGAAGAGTGGAATCTGCACGGACCAGCACGTGCCCGTCTCCAGCGCCGATGCTGTAATGGGTGGACCCAGATGGTGACCTGGAGGGGGTGCTGCAGCCAGGTAGTGCTCATTCCTGTGAGTATCCAGTGTGGGCAGAGAGCCATGAGGGGGATCCCAGGTAGAGATCACATGGGGGCGTCGTGTTGCCTGGTCTGTTCCAGAGGCCTGTCAGTCCTGCTGCCGTGGGCTGCACCTCTCCATGCCTGTCACTGATGCTTGACACTAGCTCCCACTTCCAGCTGCTCTCCTCTGGCCAAGATTTTGAATCTGTTGGGGTGAGCTGACTCATGGCCCCTCACATGGCTTGTTCCATTCTACCCCAGGCTAGACTATGGGTGTCTGCGATGTGATCACAGTCCCAGTTGGCAGAGAGAGGGGGTGAGTTAACAGACTGCAGACAGGAAGAGGGAAGAGTTTATTCTTCCAAGGAGCTACTAGCACGTTATTTGTGCCAGTATGTACCAGGACCCCAGCAGCAATGGGGCAGCCATGGTCCATGCCCTCCCAAAGATGCCAATCCCCAGCCAGAAGGCACTGGGGCTGCCCCTGGGAGCAACACTGTGTGGGAAACACAGAAATGCCCAAGGTAGAGGGCTTCCCTGTGTTGGAAGCTCACAATACAGTGGTCCAGCTGCTGCTGGGTTCTCCACCCAGCTGGTCCATCTAATCAGCAAGTGACAGAAACAGCCTAGTTTTATCATCTTTGTGTTTTCTTCTCCTTCATAGAATCATTTGTTCATTGACTGTTGTCTTAGTCCTGCTATAACAAAATATCACAGACTGGGCAATTTATAAATAACAGAAATTCACTTTCCACAGTTCTGGGGGCTGGGAAGTCCAAGATCAAGCATCAGCAGGTTTGATGTCCGGTGAGGGCTGCTCTCTGCTCACAAAATGGCCCTCTGTTGCTGGGTCCTCACATGGTGGAAGAACAGAATAGAGCAAAACCACTCCCTCAATCCCTCTTATAATATAAGGGCCCTAATCCCATCCATGAGGGCTCCATCCTCCTGATTTAATCCCCTCATAAAGACCCTACCTCTTAATACAATTGCATTGGTGACTAAGTTTCAACACAAGAATTTTGCAGTCACATTCAGAACATAGCACCTGTCTTTGCTCCTAGCCCATACCCTCCATGGGTAGGGGGGGTCATTCAGTCTTGATTCCTACTGGACCCAGCCACCCAGGCTACACACACACCAGGTAGCCACAAGGAAACCC
Organism: Homo sapiens; assembly: GCF_000001405.40. Classification (NCBI taxonomy): domain Eukaryota; kingdom Metazoa; phylum Chordata; class Mammalia; order Primates; family Hominidae; genus Homo; species Homo sapiens. Next base: position 55,788 of record NW_021159990.1, read on the forward strand.
ACTGGGGGTGGCAAAGCCCCAGGGCTGGCCACAGGGTGGGCTTGATGGATGAGGGCAGGAAGCTGTCACCAGGGCCAGGGAAAGGGGAGGCTACCCTGTAGGAGCTGGCCTTTGGCAAAAGTTTCCTGCCACCCAGTGTAGAAGGGGGTGAGAGAGAAACACGCACAATACTGAATGTGGTTGTTGTGGCTGTTGATGGATGAACTAATGCAAAGTCTGAACTTCAGCTCGTACTGTATTAATTGTTGTAGCTTTACAATAAGTCTTGAAGTCAGGTAGTGTAAGTCTTCCCATTTTGAACTTATTTTACAAAGTTATTTTGACTATTTTAGATTCTTTGAATCAGCTTGTCAATTTCCACCAAAAAAATGCTGGCCAGGCGTGGTGGCTCATGCCTGTAATCCCAGCACTTTGGGACACCAAGGCAAGTGGATCATGAGGTCAGGAGATCAAGACCATCCTGCCCAACATGGTGAAACCCCATCTCTACTAAAAATACAAAAATTAGCTGGGCATGGTGGCATGTGCTTGTAATCCCAGCTACTTGGGAGGCTGAGGCAGCAGAATCACTTGAACCAGGGAGTCGGAGGTTGCAGTGAGCTGAGATTGTGCCACTGCACTCCAGCCTGGTGACAGAGCGAGATTCTATCTCAAAAAAGAAAAAAAAACCTGCTGGAATTTTAATTTAGATGTCATTGAATCCATGGATGAATTCAAAGATAATTGACAACTTACAATATTGAGTCTTCTGATCCATGAATATGGTATATCTCTTCATTTATTTAGGCCTTCCATGATTTCTCTAGGCAATGTTTTACATTAATAGTTTTCAGTGTACAGCTCCTATGCACATTTTGTCAGACTTATTCCTATGCATCTCATATTTTTTGTGGCATTGTAAATACTATTTAAAATTTTTAATTGCCAATTTTTTGTTGCTAGTATATAGAAATACAATTGACTTTCATATAATAATCTTGTATCCAGCAACCTTGCAAAACTCACTTAAGTATTGGCTCTGTTTTTGTTTTTGTTTTCCTAAGGTGAGATCTTCCTCTATTGCCCAGGCTGGAGTGCAGTAGTGCAGACTTACTGCAGCCACCACCTCCTGGGCTCAAGTGATCCTCTCACCTCAGCCTCCCACACAGCTGGGACCACAGGTACATGCTACCGTGCACAGCTATTTTTAAAATCTTTTTTTTGTAGACATAGGGTTTTGCCATGTTGCCCAGGCTGGTCTCAAACTCCTGGGCTTAAGCAATCTTCCTGCCTCAGCCTCTCAAAGTGTTGGGATTACAGGTGTGAGCCACCATACCCAACAAAGTATTATTTCTATTAGCCTTTGTATATTCCATATCTTTTTTGGTAGATTCCATAGGATTTTCTGTGTAGATGATCATGCTCTGTATGAATAAAGTATTACTTATTCCTTTCCAGTATGGGTGCTTTTTATTTTTGCCTTATTGCATTGGCTAGAATACCTGGCACAATGTTGAATAGAAGGTTAAGAACAAACATCCTTGCCTTTTTCCTAACCTTAGGGAGAAAGCATTCTGTCTTTCACCATTCAGCGGTATTAGCTGTGGGTTTTTCAGAGATGTCCTTTCTCAAGTTGAGGAAGTTCTCTTCTACTCCTATTTTGCTAAGTTTTATCTTTTTAAAATCAGAAACAATTGTTGGATTTTGTCAAATGATTTTTCTGTATCTAAATAGTCATAAGGTTTTTCTTTTTAGGCTGTTAATATGGTGAATTACATTGATTGATTTTTTAAATATTAAACTAACTTTGCATTCCACAGATAAACCCCACTTGATCATGATGTATTATCCTTTAACAATATTGTTGGATTCTATTTGCTAAAATCTAAGAATTTTGCATTTATGTTCATAATGGATGTTGGTACGTAGTTTTCTTTAATGTCATTTTTTTTGCCTGGTTTTGGCATCAGGGTAATGCTTGTCTCATTCAGTGAATTAGAAATTATTTCCTTCTCTTCAATTTTCTGGAAGAGTTTGTATACAATTGGTATTATTTCTTCCTTAAAACCTATTTGGTCTTGAAGTTTTCTTTTGGGAAGATTTTTAGCTACAAATTCAATCTTTAATAGCTAAAGGACTATCCATATTTAAAATTTCTTCTTGAATGAGGTTTGATAGTTTGTATCTTCTGAGAAATTTGTCCATTTCATCTAAATTGTTAAATTCATTGGCATAAACTGTCTACAATGTTCTATTATCCTTTTCATACATGTAGAATCTAAAATGATGTCACCTTTTTAATGTCCTGAAATTGGTCATCTGTGTCTTCTCATTTTTATTCCTGATTAGCCTGGATCATCAATATTATTAATCTTCTCAAAGAACCAACTTTTGGTTTCATTGATTTTCCTCTATTACTTTTCTGTTTTCTATTTTATCAATTTCCACTTAATGGTTATAATTTTATTTCTTCTGTTTGAGTTTTATTTGCTTTTTTCTTTCCTGGTTTTGTAAGGTGGAAGCTGAGATCATTGATTTAAGATCTTTCTTTTTTCCTAATATGAATGTTTAGTGCTATAAATTTCCCTCTAAGTACTACATTGCTTTAGCAGCATCCAAAAATTTTTGACATGTTATATGTTCCTTTTCACTCAGTTCACAATACTTTCTCATTCTCTTTTTTATTTCTTCTTTGATCAAGGGGCTATTTGGAGGTGGGTTATTTAGTTTTCGTATATTTGGAAAATTTTCAGATATTTGTGTTATTGATCTTTAGTTTAATTCCATTGTGGTTGTACAACATATGTATGTTATATATTGCATGACTTGAATACTTTTAAGTTTATTGAGACTTATTTTCTGGTGCAGAATATGGTGTTTCTTGATAAATGTTCCTTGTGAACTTGAAAGGATAGAACTCGTACTGTCATTGGCCAGAGTATTCTGTACATCAATGAGATCAAATTGGTTGATAGCATTTAAATCTTCTGTAGTCTTGGTGGTATTCTCCCTACTTGTCCTATCAATTATTGAGAGAAGGATGTTGAAATCTCTGACTATATCAGTGGGCTTGTCTATGTTTTCTTGTGATTTTCTCAGTTTTTAGTTAATGTATTTTGTAGGTCCCTTGTTGGGTGCATAAATATTTAGAATCTTTTGTCCTCTTGATAAATTAACACTTTAGCATTTTAAAATGACCCTCATATCCCTGGTAATATTCTACACTCTGAAATCTACTTTGTCTGATATTAATATGGCCCCTCCAGATTTATTTTGATTAGTATTAACATGATTTATTTTTTCCATCCTTTTACTTTTAATCAATTTGTGTCTTTAAAGTGAGTTTCTCATAAGAAGCATATAGTTGGGTCTTGACATTTTTACCGAATCAGAAAATTTCTGCCTTCTAATTGGAGTGTTTAGGCAATTTGCATTTGATGTAAATATTAATCTATCTGGATTTAATATATGGTTTTGCTTTTTGTTTCTCATTTGTCCCACCTATCCTTTGTTCCTTTGTTTTCTTTCTGTCTTCCTTTGGATTCAGGAAGTTTTCCTACAGGTCACCGGTGCCCTTTTCACTGCTCCCCTTGGGTTCCCCCTCCCTGTACCATGGTCTGGAAATTTCTCAAGGCAGTAAACTGGGGAAATCCTAGGGTTTGCCTCATTTTTTCCTTGTCTCATTTTTTATGATTTCATTTTCTCTCCTTTTGCTGTATTAACTATAGTTGTTTGTTTTCTTATTTTAGTGGTTGCTTTAGGTTTTAGAGTATACCTCTTTAATTTGTCGTGGTCTGCTTTCAAGTGATATTATAGTGTGGCATAGACAGCATATGAACTTACACTGACATACTTCAATTTCCCCCTTCCTGGTCTTGGTGCTGTTGTCATACATTTTACTTCTACACATGTTATAAACCCCACAATATATTTTGCTTTTACTTTTTTGCTTGAAACAGAAAATTGTCACAGCTGCCATTTCTGATGCTCTTTATTCTTCTGTGTATTCACCTGTTATCATTTTCCTTCTGTTGAGTAAGATCCTTTAACACTTCCTGTAGTGTGAATCTCCTGGTGATTAATTCTTTCGGCTTTCCTTATGTCTGAAAAATTCTTTATTTTGCCTTTGTTTTGTGTGTGTGCATGCATGTGTGTGTAAGTGTGTGTGTGTTTTTTTATTTTTAGAGATGGTCTCTCTCTGTCACCCAGGCTGGAGTGCAGTGATGCAATCACAACTCACTGTGACCTTGAACTCCTGGGCTTAAGGGATCCTCCCACTTCAGCATCCCGGGTAGCTGGGCCCACAAGCATGCATCACCACACCTGGCTAAGCTTTTTTACTTTTTTTAGAGATGGGGTCTCACTATGTTGGCCAGGCTGGTCTTGAACTCCTGGTGTCAAGAGACCCTCCCACCTTAGCCTCTCAAAGCACTGAGTTTAGAGGTGTGAGCCACCATGCCTGGTCATGCCTTTGTTTTTGAAAGATATTTTCCACTGTGTAAAGAATATTAGGTTGACAGTGTTTTTTTTTTCCTTCAGCACCTTAAAAATGTTGTTCCATTCTCTCCCAGCTTGCATTGTTTCCAATTAGAAATCTGCTGTCACCCTCATCTTTGTTTCTTTGCACATTGTGTGTGTGTGTGTGTGTGTGACAGTCTAGCTGCTTTTAAGATTTTCCCTTTATCACTGGTTTTAATGAACCATGCTTGATATTTGTTGAGTTTCTTAGACCTGTAGATTTATAGTTTTCATCTTATTTGGAAAAGTTTTGGCCATGATTTCTTGAAGTATTTTTTCTGTCCTCCCTCCCCCTTGAAGAGCTCCAATCACACATATACAACTGTCCCTCTGTATCCATCAGGGGTTTGGGCCCAGGATTCCCCAGAGACACCAAAATCCATGGAGTTAAGTCCCTTATATAAAAGGGTGTAGTATTTGTATTTAACCTACACCCATCCTCCAAATACTGTAAATCATCTCTAGATTACTTATAATAATACACTGTAAATGCTGCATAAATAGTTGTTATACTGTATTGTTTAGGGAGTAATGACAAGAAAAAATTCTGTACATGTTCAGCACAGATGCTTTCTTTTCTTAAATGTTTTTGATTTGTGGTTTGTTGAATCCTCAGATGCTGAACCCACAGATAAAAAGGGCCCACTGCTTGAATATTAGGTTGACAGTGCTGCATGAAGTTGTCCCGGAGGTCACTGGTGCTCTTTTCACTGCTCCACCTGGGTTCCCCCTCCCTGCACCATGGTCTGGAAACTTCTCAAGGCAGTAAACTGGGAAAATCCTAAGGTTCGCCTCATTTTTTCCATGTCTCTGACATAATTTTCCTTCATTGCCTGATGTTCAATGTCTGTAGATCCATTGGTTCATTTATCTTTTTTAGTTGTTTCAGGTGGGAGGGTAAATCCAAATCCTCTCACTTCATCTTGTCCATAAATAGAGCTCATTATTTTTAAGTCCACTCCAATCAGGTTTTCTTCCTTATTGTTCCATGAAAATTGCTCTTGTCAAGATCACCAGGGACTTCCACATTTGAAAATCACATGGTCGGTTCTCAGTCCTCACCTTACCCCAAGCAGCATCTCTCCCTCCTCTTGGAGACACTTTCCTCAATGGCTTCCAGATAATTCATGCCCCTGGCTTCCCCCCTCCCCAAATGTTTCTTCTCATGTCCTTTGCTGGCTTCCCCTCATCTGTCTGACCTCTTAATGATGGGTGTCCTCAGGCTACAGCCTTGGCCCTCCTCTTGTTTCTATCATTCCCTGGGTGATCTCATTGGCTCATGTAGCTTAAAACCCATCTCCACACAATGACTCATATCTCTCTCTCCAGCCCAGAGCTCTCTCTGAACTTCTCATAAAACCTGCTGCTGTCAGCACTGGCACTCAGATGCCCAATTGACGTGCTCGGAACTGAGTTCCTGACCTCCCTCCCACAGCCCTGCTCTCCTCCAGCCTTCTCTACTCAGGTGCAAGCAGCTCCCAGCTTTGAGTTGTTCATATCAAAATTTTGAATTTGTCTTTGACTCATCTCATCCAATTCATTAACAAGTCCTGTTGGCTCTACTTTTTTTTTTTTTTTTTTTGAGACAGAGTCTTGCTCTGCCGCCCAGGCTAGAGTGCAATGGCAAAATCTCAGCTCACTGCAACCTCCGCCTCCCAGGTTCAAGTGATTCTCCTGCCTCAGCCTCCCGAGTAGCTGGGATTACAGGCACATACCACCATGCCCGGCTAATTTTTGTTTTTTTGGTAGAGACGGGGTTTCACCATCTTGGTCAGGCCGGTCTCGACCTCCTTACCTCAGGTGATCTGCCCACCTCGGCCTCCCAAAGGGCTGGATTACAGGCATGAGCCACCAAGCCTAGCCAGCTCTACTTTCAAAATATGTCCTGAACATGTCCCTCATCTCCAACCCATTATCCAGGACTGGCCACCGTCATCTCCCAGCTGCTTCCCTGCAGGGGCTTCCTCCCGCCGTTCCTGGTTCCACCTGGGCCCTGCAGTCTATTCTGCACCTCAGTCAAGGTGATCCTTTTAAAACACACATCAGATCCTCGTTCCTCTCCACCAGACCTTTCAGTGGCTTCCTTCACTACAGCCAGGTGAAGGCCCTTGAGAGGTCTCAGATCCACGTGCTCTACTCCATGATTTCTCAGACCTCACCCTCTTCAGCCTTCTGCCAGCTTCCTTACTGTCCTGAGGGGGTCAGGCAGGCCTTGGCCTACAGGGTCTTTGCACTGGCTGTTCCCCTTGTGGGAAATGCTGTTCCTGCCCTTATTGCCTTCCAGGTTTTGCTACCCGCCCAGCCCATCCTACTGAAAATAGCAAATGTACCTCCAGCCTACTTGGAATTTGTACCCCACCCCCCCTGCCAATGTTTAACTTCCGTGCAGTTGTCACTTTCTAACCTCAAAATTTACCTCCGTATTGTGTTTAGTGACCGTCTCTGTCCCTGGGATGCCAGGTCCATGAGGACAGGAGTTCTTGAGTCTCTTTTCCCCAGCACAATGCCAGGCATGCGGCAGGTGCTCAGTAAATGTTTTCTGAGTGACGGGAGAGACAGTGAGGAAGTACCCACCTGCCAAGGGAGCACCACGCCAGCTCAGTCCCACCGAGAGCTCTCAGGGGCCTAGGGGAACAAACAGAAAGGTTTGTAAATAAGGTTTAAACCAGACTGAGTTTTATTTTACTTTTTATTTTTTTAGAGACAGGGTCTTGCTCTCTCACCTAGGCTGGAGTGCAGTGGTATCATCACAGCTCACTGCAGCTTCGAAATTCTGAGCTCAAGGGATCCTCCTGCCTCAGCTTCCTAAGTAGCTGGGACTACAGGCAGATGCCACCATGCCTGGCTGATTGTTATTTTTTGTAGAGATGGGGTCTCACTGTGTTGCCCAGGCTGGTCTCAAATTCCCAGGCTCAAGCGATCCTCCTGCCTCAGGCTCCCAAGGTGCTGGGATTATGGGCATGCACCACCGTGCCCAGTTCAGACTGAGTTTTCGGAGCCAAATGTGACCAGAAACTCAAGACATCTGCTCCACAGTCATCAAGGGACAAAGCAGGAGCTTTGACGGAAGTCACCAAGTATCCAGACCCAGCCGAGGCTACCCCACAAGCCAGTGCCCCACCAAGGAGCCACAGCTTCTCCTGGACCCACGCTGGCCTTCAGCTGCTGCCACGAGCCCCCGGGCCCTACACTGTTGTGGCGGTCCCCACCTCAGTGCCTTGGAACCCAGGCCTGGGCTCCTAGCCTGTGGGCACTAGGCAGGCCCTGACCATTTTCTTCTTTTCTTTCTTTTTTATTTGAGACAGGGTCTCAGTCTGTCACCCAGGCTGGAGTGCAGAGGTGCCATCACAGCTCACTGCAGGCTCAACCTCCTGGACTCAGGTGATCCTCCTGCCTCAGTCTCCCAAGTAGCTGAGCCTACAGGTGTGTGCACCACCACGCCTGGCTCCTCCAACAGTTTTCCATGAGAACAGAGGCTCCTGGGACAGCCAGGCTCTGCGGGACACAAGGAACCTGGCCCCCGACTCTCTGCACAGTCTCAGCCCAAGCTGACGGGCAGCTGTGGGCTGCAAAGTGAGAGTGAGATTCAGGCCACGGGATGGGGCCAAGATTGCAGACACTTGGCTGTCAGGTCGAAACGGCCATGCATGGGGACGTGGGGCCATGGGGCCCTGGGGCTCCAGTGTCTGTGGGATGCTGGCCTCAGCACCTGGGGTGGGGCTGAGAGACCCCAGGGCACCTCCACCGGGCAGAGCACTCGGCAGCCCCAGAGCAGCTCCTGCAGAGGCGTCTGTGAATGAGGAGGGGCAGCGCAAAGATTAAATGGAAAGGGGGCCGCAGCCCGGGCTGCACTCCATCTCCATTCTGTCAAGCGTGTTCGCAGACACGCACGAGGGGGCACGGGAGGAAGTAACTCCGGCTGTGTCAGAGGCATCCACACTTCCATCACGAACCTGCCGCCTCCCACCTCCCCAGGGCGCTTCCGGGAGCTGGACGCAGCTGCCCGTCCAGGCTGTGTCTCTGCTTGGATGGCTTCTGTCCACATGGGAGGTCATGCCCTTGGGAATGACAGGTGGGGGTTTCCTGGGGACCCCAGCCCCTACTTCCAGGACAGGCTTTTGCCCTGGGGTGTGGGCTTCAAGCAGGAGCGGGGGCAGTGGATGATGGCCATCGTCAGTCACGGGACACAGGGCCAGGGCAATTCACTCACAGGGGGCTTGGGCATCCCTTTCCAGGGTCCATGGCAGGCCCACCCTCTCCTGCCCCTGCCAGGTGCTCTGCAGGAAGGAGCCAGGTGCTGGGGGATTCCTGGGCGCCCTGGATGCTAAGCCAAGTCCCGATCAGCTCTCTGCCCTGGCAGGTCCCTCCCCTGGGAAGGGGGACCAGCTCCCAGCTCTACCACCTGGAAGGTGGGAGGGGGTTAGATCTGAGCTCACTCCCAGCTCCCGACTCTCAGAACCCCGGGGTGGGGTCATTGGCCAGCAGACCCGCCCCATGAGAAGCATGGCAGGCCATGAGCCTGGCTGGGGCACGTCTGCAGGCTGGAGGTGGAGGGGGCTCCGCCACACAGGAAGGGACATGGACGGATCGTAGGTGGGTGGGGTGCAGGAGCCCCCTTTTTACAAGCTGACGTGAGCCTCTCATCCCAATCACCCTGTCCCTGGGTCTCGAGCCAAGGAGCCTTGGACTCCACTGTCCCACAGGAACACCCAGAGCAAAGGAGGGCACAGCTCAGGCCTCAGTGTCCTGGGTCTGTGAAATGGGCCCGTCCCGTGGGATGGCGGGTATGGGAAGGCCAAGAGGCCACGGAGGCAGGGGTCGCTGACCGTGGAGCTGGAGCTGTTCCGGGGCCCTGGACCTGCCGGGCTGGGGACAGCCTCTGTGGGTGCCGGGGGTGCTTTGGCGGCTGAGCGGGTCTCTTGGTGCGACGCCGCCTCCCGCCTCCCGGAGCCCCGGCCCCCACCCCGGCACACACACAACTATTTAATTTTGCTCTGGCAAGGAATAATAGAGTCCTGTGTATCTATTACAGATGCGGGGAGATTGGGCCGCCACAGGCTGCACAGCACATTCAGAGGCCTCACAAAGCCGGCTGCAATCGACTCGGCCTGCCATTATCCATTCAGCGGGCGTAATGAATGAGCGGGCGCAGGCTGCCATATACCACCCGGCCCAGATAACGGCTGAAAGGAGAAAATTAAATTTTGCTTTTGTTGAAACATTATGATTTATGTATTTGTAATGTAGGCTGTGGTGGGCGACTGGGGGAAGCCTGCTTCCTCAGGGTCACTGATGGCCCGCCGGCCACTAAGCGCTCAGCCCACTCCTCTGTGGGCAGGAACAACTCCCCCACCTGCTCATCCGCAGGAGGAGCCGGGGGCTGGCACACGGACCCCGGGCAGGCGCGGCCGGCCCCCTCTCCCAGGACGCTGGGCTTGGCTCTCGGAGCAGGCAGGGGGCGGCTTCTGTGTGGCTTGGACCCAGGACCTGGCATTCTGATCACCCCGTGCCCTGTCTGGACCTGTAAAAATAATTAACTTCTCCTGGCTGGCCCTGGAGAGACAGACACGTGAGAACATCCCCTGTAATTTATAGCCTAGCGGTCCTGTCCCTTAATGCAGCAATCAGCGCGGGCTTATCACGTTGTGGAAGGTAATAAACTTGCTTCCTCCCAGCTCGCGGGCTCCTGAGCCAGGGTCTGGCAGTGCGGCACCCCCTCAGAGGGCCGATGGCTGGCGTAGAGGAGTGGGCAGGGGGCTCCCCTACAAACGGACCACCAGGGAGCTGAGGGCCCCTCCCATTACAGGACAGGGCAGTGCCTGGCGGCCCGAGGCCCGGGTGGCCGTGTGGCTGCAGGGAGGCCCCGCCCCAGGCTGTGTGGTGAGAGCCAAGGACAAGCCTGGGTGACAGACTGGGCCCTTCCCGGCGTGCTGAGGGCCCTGGCAGAATCTTCCCCCCCAGGGCCAGTGCGTGCCCAGCCGAGGACCCCCGAGTGCAGCTGCAGTGCTGGACCTCACCTCCTCACCTCCGATGCTCCTTCAGAGCCCGAATAGCCCCCCGGGAGCTCACATGTGACGCCTTATCACACTGGACGGGCGCATTCCCACACAGATGGAAAAACTGAGGCTCACAGAGGCTAAGCAGCCCCAGGGCACCAGTGTCAAGCCGACTCAGGGGTGTCCACCCCCACACTGACCCCTGCCTGCAGAGAGGGGCCATCCTCACCCCCTCACCTGAGGCCTCCTGCAAGCTGTGGTCACAGCTGGGGCAGCCCCTCCTCTTCCACCTGGGGAAGGAGTGGGGCTTCACGGCATACATGCTGAGCATGGGAGACTCAGCTGTGCCACCATCAGGGTGTCTCCCTCGGGCCTCTGCGTCCCCCTGACCGCCGTCCTCCTGGGGCACAACGGTGTCTCCCTCGGGCCTCTGCACCCCCTTGACCGGCTGTCCTCCTGGGGGACAGTGCCCATCTCAGCTGCCATCTGTTCCCAGGGTCCAGCACAACCTAGATGGAGCCCTCTCCTCCCGCTCCCCTGCTCCCCTCCAGGGCCCACCTGAGTATCCAGCAGCCTGGGGTGCAAGCTGGGACTGGGTCTCACTGCCTCTGCCCCCCAGAAAGGCCTCTGAGCCACCCCGACAGGCAGAAGCAGCCTGGTCTCTGCTTTGAGATGCTGGATCCAACCATGCCTGAAGCAGGCAGGTCACAGCCCACTTGGCTGTGTGAGCAGGCAGTTGCCCGTGATGCTTTGTGAGTGCGGGCTCCTGTTACCAGCAGCACAGGGGCCTGGCAGTGCCTCTGTCTCCCTCTGGAGCCACATGCTCTCCCTTTGTGAGCTGGTGGCACACCCTCCTCCTGAGGCATACCAGCTCCCAAACTGGCCTTCCTGGCTCCCACCCTGCCTGCCTCTCAGCTGTGTGCGGCTGCACCCCAGGAGCAGGAACGTGGTGGTCTCAGCTCAGTCAGGCACCCATCCTGGAGCTCAGTGGGCCACCGAGGTTGGAGGTGGGCTACATCAGCACCTGACGCCTGAGGGTGGGAGGGCAGGCTCCCACGGTGCCTCTGACAGGGCAGATTTGATTGTACCCATTTTCCAGTTGGGGAATTTGGGCCACAGAGATGAAGTCAGGTATGGAGGTCCAGAGTGCCTGCGGGAACCAAGATCTGAACTCCCCTCTTCCTCTCTTCTACTTCCCTCTCCAGCCCCTCTGCTAGCCTCAATGTCTCTTGGCCCCTGGAACCCTCCCCAGGAGGCTGCCCAGCTGCTGGGCTCAGTCCACCAGGCAGGCAAGTTGTGACGGCCAGCGGCACATGGTCTCTCTCCTCATGAGTCAGGAGAAGGCCCTTGGTCCCTGCGGCAGAGGCGGAATCTGCTTTGGGGGCAGATTCTTTGTTCTGCTGGTTCATCACTGTCATGGGATTGCTGCAGTTCCGTGGGGCCGGGCGCACGTCGGTGGTGTGGGCACCGCCGGGCCCCTCCTGGGAACAGACCTCTCCCCTCATCGCCGAAGCACGAGGAGGTTTTCGCACGCACAGAGGGTGCCGAGCCGAGCCACGGTAATCTTATTAAGAGATTTATTTTACGTCTGATGCTGCTTCCTCCAGTGCGGCTCCATCCCCCGTGGCAGCTGTGCTGGCGAACGGGGCCTCTGCCAGCTGGGGGCTCGCCAGGCAGAGAGCCCCATCTCCGTCCTTTGCCTTTCTGGTGGATCCCTGCCTGGGCTTTGCCTCTGCAGCCCCCCGCCCCACAGGTTCACACCTCGGGTCTTCTCCACCGCTGCCACACGCCAGAGCCTGTAGCGGGGCCTCAGAGTCTGGGAGGTGGGACTCCTGCACCTCAGCCATCATCAGACCCATGGGGCCACCCAGGGAACCTTGGCAGGGACCATTACCAGTGACCTGCCGAGGCCCCGGACTCTGCCAGCCAGCTGTGCCGGCCACCCTGCCCCGGACAGTGCCGGTTCATGTGGGAACTAGGGGACGATGTGGTTCTTCGCATCTGATGATGAAGGCCCTGGGCCACTTGGCACGGGCGGGCGCTCCCGAGATGGATATGAGGAGCCCCCTCTGCCCAACTCCCAGAAAGGCCGAGGCTCTGCAGCGGGAGGAAGTCCTGCGATGTCCTGGGGGGCAGCAGCGCAGGGCACAGGGACAGCCCCCCTCCACAGCTCTTCCTGGCCAGCCCTCCCCACTATCTGCCAGGAGGTTGCTTCTTCCAGGAGGCTTTTCCCGACCAGCCCAGGGGTCCAGGGTCTGGGGCTCCCAGCTGCTGTGAGTGCTGCACATTCTCTTGAGGACAGCCCCCTCCCTCCCCCACCCACTTCTGGTGCCCACTGTGGCCACAGCAAGCACTGGGGCCTGCACTCAGGGACCTCGGGGCCTCCTGGGGAGCTGCTGACCCTAGGCAGAGAGATTGCACATCCCTAAGAGTCTACAGACACCCCAGTGTTTGCCAGTGTTTGCCCGTGTTCACCAGTGTTTGCCAGTGTTTGCCAGTATTTGCTCGCCAGTGTTCGCCACTTGTCCCTCTGGCTGCAAGAGTGACTGGGTTTGGGCGGGAAGTTGCAGGTCCCTCCAGGACAGTTGGCCGATGACGTGGAGACAGACCCACCCCCCAATCCTGGCTCCCTGCAGGACGCGGGGCCCCCCGAGATCCTGGCGGTGCTCAGCACGACGGGCACCTCCGTGTTCACCAGTCCAATGGGCACGGAGCGTGGCTTTATTTGCATGTCTGGATTCCTAACGACTTCAGCCTCTGCACCTCCTGGGTTTTCCCTGCTGCAAATTGCCATTTGGCGTCGTCCCCAATTTCCGGCCAAGGCCGCGTCGTCGTGCTGCTGTGTAATTTGATGTGTGGAGTTCTAGATACCAAGTGTCTGTCGGTTTTAGACATCGCAAACGTCCTTCCCAGTGTGGCCCGTCCATTCGCTTCTGTGCAGCAAAATCTTTAATTATTTGATGGCATCAAAATGTGTGTCCAGTTTTACCTTCTAGTTTATACTTTCGAACATTTGTTTGAGAAATCTTTCTCCCACCTGTGGCTGATAGTGACGTCTTCTAACTTCCCATTTACTATGTTACATTCAGACCCATCATCTTCAGGAAGACGCTTGTGTGCGAGACGGGTATGAGGCCCCCACACCCCGCCTCAGGACCACTGTCCATGGTTCCACCCCTGACCCCGGACTCCGCTCCCCAGACCTCCTAAGTGAAGCCACCTCCACGGAGGGGCCCTCCCCGCCATCACCCCCCAGCCCGGCACCCAGCATCAAATCTGCATGTCTTGTATGTTGGGGAAAACGCTTGTTTATGCTTACGTTTGAGGTCTGCGACCTCACGGGCCCCTCTCCCCAGAGCTTGGAGAGCAAGCATCAGAGCCACGCAGGGTGTCTGGCTTGAGAGGGAGGTGGGCAGCGGTTCCACGCCCACCTTGGAGGGCCACCTCGCCTGGCCAATGGCCCATAGGCCAGCCTCACCAGCCTCCCTGAGCACCAGGAGCCTTTCTGCCCCTGCCATCAACAGGGTCCCTCCAGGCCTCTGACTGTGTGTGAGCCGGCGGAGCTCTGACTGTGTGAGGGGGACAGGATAGGGCCACAGAGCCGTGCATGTCACTGGAGCCACCAAACTGCCCTACAGTGTGACCCTCACGCGGGCCCAGCCCTCCAGAGCTGGCGCAGGGTGGGTGTGCAGGCACCAGGTTCTCATCAGCCCCGGGAGCCCGGTGGAGTGGACATCCAGGGCAGGGCGGACCCCAATGGGAGGCCCAGCACGGCTCCTGTCGGGGACCTACCCGTTCCCAGAATTCCCCCGGGAGCCCCTCGCGGGTTTGTCTGTTGCTGCTGGAGGCACGGCCTGAGGATTTTGCGGTCCCGTTTCATCTGCTGGGAGTAGAGACACATAAATAACGGGTCTGATAAGATTGAGATATTGAGTGTTTTCTAAGAAGAAAGCAGGAGTGATGGAAGTTTTTCGGGTTTTAGGTTATTCTGGGCAGGGGCGGGAGGCGAGCGTGTCTGGGAGACTGACGGTGCGGCCTAGGGGAGCCGGGCAGCAGACAAATGTCGTTATGAAGAGCATGAAATTTATACAGCACACACTCTCCCCTGATCACTCGGGACTCCTCCTGCATTTCAAGGTCACTGTGTGTGAAGGAGGCTCACGGTGAGGCTGCAGCCCGGGTCTCAGTGCGACTGCCGGGTGGGCATGGAGGGCACCGTGCGACGGCCGAGGATCAGGGATCCCAGGGCCCGGCCCCACCACGACCCAGAACGCGCTCTTGCCTCGCCCCCTCCACCGCCCCCGAGGTCAGAGGCTGCAGCTTGGACAGGCGGGGGCAGGGGCCCTTCTGTGGCCCTGAGGCCGTAGCCAACCCTGCCTTGGAGTGTGGAGACCCTAGGGCTGCTCAGGGAGGGGCCCACAGCCTGGTCCTTGCGACCCAGACAGGTGCAGAGCAGTGACAGGCTGCCACGAGCCGGGTTCAGCCACGACACCGGGTCAGGGAGTGTGAGTGCCTCCACATGTGTGGCCACAGTGGATGTGGGGAGGCTGCCCTGCCCTGCCAGGGAGGATGGACAGTTCCTCTGGCTGTGGGCGCCGCTTCCCGAACCTGTTTTCATCTACACAGTGGGATGAGAGCCGTGCTGGGCCTACCTGTCCGGCTGGGCTGCGTGAGGTCTTCCAGGGAAGGCGTGGGAAGGCCCTGCCATCCTTAGCCATCGTGCGGGGCCAGCTCAGGGGCGGGAGGTCTTCCTTGGCTGCATGTCCTGAGTTCTGCCTCCTCACCCCCAATGTCCCTCGTGGTGAGGCCCCTGATGAAAAGCTCAGCCCAGCCTGGGTGCTGGAGGCTGGCTGGGGCTCAAGGCTTTTCCTTCTGAGGAGCCACAGCCTCTGTGGGTCCAGAGACAGCTCAGCCACTGCTAGAGGGGCTTCGGGCTCCCGCTTCCCCCCCAGCTCCACCCCACCGCAGGGCAGAGGGAGTCCGGAGACACATGGGGAACACGAACTGCTTCCATGTGGCCTTGCTTTATTGTAGCTTACAGAACATATGGGCCTTGCAGCCCAGCCCCCAGGGAGCCAAACCTGGCCTGGAAGGGTGGGAGACAACAAAAGGGGCAGTGAGTGGGAAGAAGGAAAGGGACCTGCCCACAGCCCAGACCCAGCTCGACAGGCAGCCCGGGACACCATTCCTGAACTGAGTGGTCTAAGATACAGTCCAGGATGTGGGGGAATGGTGGAGAGCTGGTGCTCAGCCTCTAGCAACCACAGAGACACAAAGAGTGCTGCGCATCATGACCACAGTGTCACCCTCCACATTTACTCACTTGTACCCTCTGTTCACCTGGGACTTTAATCCTCTTCCAGGGCAGGAACAGTGTCCTGTCCTTCATACCATTCCCTAGAATGGAGGAGGGGTGAGATATGTGTGATGGATGGAAGAGCAGATGGATGAATGAGTGGATGGATGGGTGGATGGAAGGATGGATAGACGGATGAATGGAGAGCTGAATGGACAGATGTATGGATGGATAGGTAGAGGATGGATGGATGGATGGATAATGGATGGATGGATGAGAGATAAATGAATAGACAGATGTATGGATGGATGTGTAAATGATGGGTGGATGGATGGATGGAAGAAATGGGTGTATGGATAGATGCTGGATGGATAATGGGTGGATGGAGAGATAAATGAATGGACAGATGTATGGATGGATGTGTAGATGATGGATGGATGGATGGATGGAGAGATAAATGAATGGACAGATGTGTGGATGGATGTGTAAATGATGGGTGGATGGATGGATGGAAGAAATGGGTGTATGGATAGATGGATGGATGGATAATGGGTGGATGGAGAGATAAATGAATGACAGATATATGGATGGATGTGTAGATGATGGATGGATGGATGGATAATGGATGGATGGATGGAGAGATAAATGAATGGACAGATGTATGGATGGATGTGTAAATGATGGATGGATGAATGGATGGATGAAATGGGTGTATGTATGGAAGAAATGGGTGTATGGACGGATGGATGGATAATGGATGGATGGAGAGATAAATGAATGGACAGACATATGGATGGATGTGTAGATGATGGATGGATGGATGGGTGGGTGGATGGAAGGATAGATGGACGGATGGATGGGTGGATGATAGAGGATGGATGAAGATATGGATGATGGATGAAGAAATGGATGGATGGATGGGTGAGTGGGTGGATGGAAGGACGGATGGGTGAGTGGGTGGATGGAAGGGTGGATGATGGATGGGTGGATGAAGAAATAAATAAGATAGATAGATAGTTATGAAATGGGCGTGTTCCCTGATCCCCCTCACAGGACATGCAACAGGGGTGTGGCTCGTATGTTCGGCCGCTGTGCACTCAAATCTCTTATGGGAGGGGGAACATGCAGCTGAGCAGCTGCAGGAGCTGGAGCAAATGCTTTTGGGTTTCAACCCCACAGTAGCATCTAGGGATGGTGCCTGCACGGAAGCCCCAGTGAGTGTGTCACAGGGCTCCTTTAGCTCTGCCATCCACAGACAGCTTAAGTGTTAACCAGCTCAGTGCCCTCTTGGTACCCAGGTTCTTGTCGGGCATCCAGGAAGAATCAGGTCACATGGACAAATTGAAGGATGGTAAATGTGGGGGATTTTATTGCCAGATGGAGGTGGCTCTCCATGAGATGGATGGGAAGCTGGAAAAGAGACGGAGTGGGAAGATGATCTACCCCTGGAGTTCAGCTGTCCCGCGGCTGATCTCCTCTCCCACCGTCCCCAGCCAAGCTCCTCTTGACGTTCAGATGTTCCTTCTCTTCTCTCCTTCTCTACGGCACCACTCTGCTGTTTCTCTGCTCTTCTGCTCATCTGCTTGTGGAGCCTTGGGTTTGGGGTTTACATGAGTACAGGATAGGGTCGTGCGGTGGGCCACAAAGCAGCATTTGGGTGAAAAAACAGGAATGCCTGTTCCCATTTAAGGCTTCAGTTTTCCAGGCTTGAGGGTGGGGTCTTTGCCAGGGAACCACTCTCTTCCACTCAGTATTTCCCTGTCTCCTGTCTGCATCAGTTGAGGGGGGTGGGTGATGGATGGACAGATGAAGAGATGAACAAGTGGATAAATGTATAGATTGATAGATGAATGGATGGGTGGATGGACAGGTGGGTGGGTGAGTGGATAGATGGATGGAAGAATGAGGGGTGGGCAGGTGGATGGGGGTGTGGCTGGATGGGTGGATGAATAGGTAGGGGGATGGATGATGGATTGGGTAGATGGATGGATAGGTGGGTCAATGTGTAGATGAACTTGAGCAGCGGAATGTGGCTGCACACAAACACACAATCACACAAACACACAAACACACAATCATGCTGAACTTGGGTAAATCTACGGCCACGAGCCTCCGGGGGCTGCTTAACACTGCCCAGCAATCCTGCTCCTTTTCTCTTCCTCACTCGCACTCTTGCTTTCAGGGACACTTCTCCCCTCACCAGTCTCTTCTTTCCTTAAACTGCTAACACCCTCTGCTTACTCTTCAATCTCAGCTGCTGACCTTACTTCTTCACTCACTGAAATCCAGGATAACCAAAAAGAGAAGTTCCTCATTCTCCCATTAAAGGCTCTGCACCTGGACCTGGGTGAAGGTATGTGCTCCTGGTGAAGGCAGGCATCGCCTCATGGGCACCAGACTCCAGCCCCTGTCACATAAATGGGCCAATTGAGTGATGGAGAAATGGATGCATGGGTAAGTGTATGAATTGATGAACGAGCAGGTGGACGGATATATGAATATACAGAGGTGGATGGAGGCTTGGTGGGCGGATGGACAGGTGAATAGATAGACATACGGAAGAGCTGATGAGCTAATGAATGAGTGAATGGATAAATTTATAGTTTGATGGATGAATGTATAAGGGGCGAACAGATGGTATGAGCGCACGGTGGATAAAAGGAGAGAGGATCATGAATTGGTGGCAGGTAGGTGGAAGGATGAACAACCTCTGCCTGGAACCAGCTGAGGTTGTTTCCACCCCTAAGGCCTATGGTTTGGGCCCCACAGTGTGTGTCAAGGCCTCCATCCCCATCCCAGTGCTGAGCGGCCCCCTGACCACACCTGCCTCTGGCAGCCTGGCCAGTTGAGGCCCCTGAAAGGGTGGTGTACAGGCCAGCGGCTCTCAGGAGCTCCATTCCTGGACCTCCACCCCTTGGACTGGCCCTGGTGGCCACGCCTCCCCCTGGGACAGGCCACCGCTGGTCACAGTTGTTCCAGCCTTGAGGCAGGCCCGGCTTCCTCCACCCCTGGGCTCTGGGGCTCCTCAGGGCTGGGCCTGGACCCTCCAAGCCCCTCTGCTATTGGTGGCCTGTCCCCATCTGCAGACTCAGCTGCTGTCCCAGACCAGCCAGGCCCCTGCTCCACAGTCAGCACCCATGCCTGGGCCCAGCCCTTCACACTCGCAGCACGGTGAGTGTACATGTCTGAGTGTGCATGTGTGTGTGCGCATGCACTTGTGTTCGTGTGTGTCCAAGTACTCAGGTGTGCTCTTGTTACCATACTCGTGTTTGTGTGTAACTGTGCATACGTGTGTCCATGTGCATGAGTATATAGGCATCGTATGTGTGTGTTTGCATGTGCCAATGTGTGTGCAGCTGTGCAGGGCCTGGCCTGTCCCCCAATCACCCCATGAAGGCACCTCGATACCACCATCCAGAGGTCTCAGTCCCACCCTGGGTGTGTCTCTGAGCTCCAGCTGTGTGCAAGGCTGGGCTTGCAGGGAGAGCTCCCTGGTGGCTTTCTCCTGCCCCTGCCATCCTCCTGCCACCCTGGGGACAAGGCCGTGCTGGGTGCTCAGGGTAGGGGTGGGGACACCTTCCTGGGGGATAACTATAGGATCTAAGGGATGAGCTGGGATTTACCCGGGAGACACACTGAGATCCGCACCTGTAGCTGGGGGACCGTGTAGGCGGGGGCCTGGTTCTGGGAAGAGCCTAGCACTGGGACTGGGGCAGAGTAGGGGAGCCCCTTGGGGACAGGCTGTGACCTGCAGGCTGTGAGTGGAAGCCAGGCTGAGGAACCACCAGGGGGCACGGGTATAGCACCTGGGTGCCCCACGGACCCCCCTACCTGCCTGATGGACACCCTGACAGCAGGAGGCCACTGTGACTGCTTCCTGATCTGCAACCCACCTGCCCAGCCCGCCACCCGCATCAGCAGCTGGGGACAGGTGTGCGTGTGGGCATGGGAGGTGAGGGCAGGAGAGGCAGACTGGCCCAGGAGAGGGCCTGGCCTGACTAGTCCTAGCACCCACCTCTCCCTCTCAGAGATGAGATGCTCCCTCTGCCTGGGATCCCCTTCCTGCCCGTGTGCTGGTCACGTCCCCTCTGCATCCACACCTCTGCTTGGCCGACTCCCTCAGGACCCCCCGACCGCTCAAGGCTCCAGCCACCCTCACGGTGCACACCCGCACTTGGCATGACCTGATTGATGCCAGGCAGCTCTAGGGAGGGCAGAGGCCTCGTCTGCCAGGTCTTGGCTATCCCAGAACCTGGCACGGGGTGTGACCCCAGGAGGGGAGAAGGAAGTTCCACCCCTCCTCCAACCCCGGGAAGGTAATGGGGGTGCTTCGAAAGCAAGGGGCTCCTGCTCACACTGATCTGGAGAACTCAGGACTCAAACCAAGTCATGTTCTTTACAACAGCACTTGTCAGTGCCTTTGGTGACTGGCATCGAGTGCCCCTCTGCCCCTGCCCTGAGCGAAGCCTGCAGGAACGTCCTTGGCACGTTTGACCCCATGGCTCCGACATCTTGCAGAGAAGTGATATTGAAAAGGGGCAATTCCTCCTGCAGGGAAGAGAGGAGTGGGGAGAAAGGGAGTGGGCACCAGCCGAGCCCTGGGGGCTTCTGCCGCAAGCCCCTTGCCTCCAGAGGGCCAGGGAGGAGTTCAGAGAGTTTTCAGTCCCTCCTGCAGCACCTCCCCAAGCAAGGGCACACTCATGTCAGGGGCTGGAGAGGGACAGGGCTGGGTCTGGGCCTACTGGGGCACCACGAAGGTCACTGACACCTGGCCCTCTGGGCCTCGAGTCCAAAGCCCGTGTGTGATCAGGAGACTGGCCTGGAGGCCCAGCTCGGCCCCAGAGCTCTCCCTGGCCTGGGAAGGGGTGTGTGCTGGGGGCCCTGGAAGGCTACAGGGAAGCCACCATTTCAATCCCGACCACTCACGACCCTTGTGGGACTCCAGGTGTGGATGCCCACCTGGAACAGCCACACTGAGTCAGTGGGGGACCACAGTCCCAGGCCCCAAGGGTCCCCATCCTGCCACATTCTTAGAGGGGAGCCACTCTTGAGGGACCCCCAGGGTCTCCCAGGCCAGAACCTTGAGGCTGCACGAGGACCCTTCAGCCCACTCAGGCCCGGACCACTCCAAGGCTGGCCAAGGAACAGGGGAATAGGGTGCTGCCCGAGGCCAACTGAGGGACTTCCAGGGGCCCTCCAGGAGAAGCTGGCTGGTGGGCTACGTGCCCAGCCTCTGGAGGGCGAGGGGATGGAGAGCTCGTGGCCTCCGACCCCCTGTCCTCACCCCAGGACCAGGCCACAGGATGCAGTGAGTCAGAGGATCCCGGAGGCAGTGCCTGGCTCCCCACCTCCCTGGCCGACCCCCACCCTGTTCCCCCACCTGCTGCCCCAGCCCAATAAGAAGTTGGCCACAGGCACCCCCAGCCCAGTGCCTGTGAACAGCTCCATGGCAGACATGGTGGCTCCAGAGGTGTCCCTGCTCCCTGGGAGCCAGCTGCAGGAGCTGGGGGCACGGCAGGCGCGCCGGGGGGCTCTGTGGCACGCAGCGAAGGCTATTTAAATGCTCCGTTGGAGAGGGATTAAAGTTTACGCAAGGTCACTGAGGATGTGATAATTATAATCACAGGTTTTTGGCTCCACAATGACAGCCATTTGTTATTTCCGCTCGGGCGGCTCCCGCGGCCCAGAGCTGGTGACAAGCGTGGACTGATTTAGTGGCCAGAGCCCATGCCCCTCCCCTCCCACTGCAGTCCCAGCAGCCCCCACTCCTGGGGGCTACCAAGGGCTCCACCCCCAGGGGACCAAGAGAGTCTCATGATGAGATGGGAGGGGGGAGTGGTGACGGAGAGGGATGGTGGCAGAGGCAGGGGATGGGTGGGGACAGGGCCAGGGGCGTCCCCACCTGGGGGTGGAGGGACCGTTGATGTACAGGCTGCCCATCAGGGTGTGAGCCTGCCTGGCCCAGGCCTCAGTTTCTCCATTTATGGGTCTCCATGCACCGCCTGTGCCCCGAGGATCCTGGCTCCGCCTCCGGCTACGTTCAGTCTTGTCTCTATTGCCCACATTCGCAAGTCCACGGCGGCCAACGCACCTGACAGGAAAAGGTCTGTCCACTCCCCACCGTCTCCGACTACAATCGCTGCTCTGTATTTCAACATTTCCCTGGAATTGGGTCCGTTTCTCCAGGTGAAAGAGTCTGCCCTGGGTCCATCACAACTATGCCGTTTCCCCATCCTAACACGGAGGCCACGGGGCCCCAGCTCCCTGGAAAGGAAAGCCAGAACCAGGCCCCGCCTTGAGTGAGGTAGGGGGCTCCCTGAACTGGGGGTCCCTAAGCCCCAGACCACCTGTGCCTAGGCAGTCTCAGCAGGCAGTACCTGCTGGGACAGGGTGGCCGTGATGGGTTCGGAGATCTGTCAGGAAGTGGTGCCAGGCCGCCGTGTCTTCTTGAACTCTTGCTGGCTACAGGCCAAGCCCTCTGTGCCTTGTGTCCTCTGCACCGCGATGGCTTCGCTGGGGGAGGGAGT
This sequence comes from Homo sapiens, assembly GCF_000001405.40. NCBI lineage: Eukaryota > Metazoa > Chordata > Mammalia > Primates > Hominidae > Homo > Homo sapiens. The sequence goes on from NW_021159990.1 coordinate 78,104, forward strand.
GGGGAGAGCTGGCCTGCCCACGGGGCATCGCTGCACGTGGTAGGGGGTGACCTGGGCCGAAGGAGGATACCGGGCCTCTGCTAGGGCAGGGAGGCCAAGGGAGTTTGGGCCGGAGGGGACACCCTGAGCGCCCCACCTGCCTCCCGACTGTTGCCGGCCTGTGATTGATGCAGTTTTTTTTTGTTTGTTTTGGCAATCAGAGGTGTGAGCGCTTTAATATATATTAAATGGTGATAAATAAGGGGTCCAGGCAGCCGGCCTGACACGGCATTTGTCTTGGAGGGAGCAGAGATTGATATCTCGTGGGTGGCATTAAAAACTCCCGCCACAGTGGCGTGGGGGGCCCCGGGGCAGCCGCGCTCCTCCCCGGGCAGGGCGGGGACCACCCTCAGCGGCTGCCCCCAGCCCCACACCCTCACCCAAACCGCTGCCTGCAAGCCTGCGGCCCCTGCACGCCAGGACCCACCCGCGGGTGACCGGCCCCGAAAGTCCCCTAAGGCCCCGGCAGCCCCAGGACTCGATCACCCGGACACCCCGGGCTCCCCCGGCTCCCCGGGGTCCTCCTGTTCGCCCCTCGGCCGGCGCCCTCCTCCCACAGCCCACTCGCACGGGCCCGAGGGGCTGCTGCGCTTCTGCAGGAGCCCAGGCTGGCCTGAGAGGCACCAGGAATGAGGGCACAGGGTCCCTGGGCCGGCCCAGTCCCGTCGCCCTCGAAGGCCTCAGTGCCAGTGTCCAGCCTGGGGCAGCTGCATCCTCCACCCTCGGCCTCACCACGGCCTGCCCTCATCTGATTGGATGGGCCGAGGTCAGGTGTGCCTCAGCCAATCCTCAGAGCTGGGGCCATGCACCGCCTCTGATTTGAGCCAATCACGGCTCACTTGGTGGGCAGGGACTTCTGCAGCTCAGCGGGTGGGAGGGGCCTCCACCAGGGTCACCTTGACCTCTAGCTGACCTCTGCCTGACTTCTGGTTGACCTCTGCCCTCCCCCCAGGAAGAATGCCCCAGGGTGAAGACAAGGTGGCTGCCAGGCTGTGCTGTCCATGTGGCCACAGGAGGCCTGGACCTGGAGCTGGGACCTGGAGGCTCCTGGGGTCCTTGGGGTGGGGTCACTGGGCAGTGGACACTGCGGGCATTGGGATGGGGGCACAGGGGAGCTCCAGAAGGTGGGATCTGGGGAACATGGGGAAGGGGCACAGGAGGGTGGGCGCTGGCGCCATGAGGTGGAGGCACTGGAGTGGGAAGAGGAGTGGGCACGCTGGTCGCTGTGAGGTGACCACTGGGGGTGCTGGGGCCATTGCAGGGGGTGGGGGGGGAATTGGTGATGCAGGACGGGCAAGCCCCAAAGTCGAGGCCATAACTTGGGAGGGTTCTTGGCTTCCCCCAGGAAAGAATCCAAGGGCAGGGGTCACAGCAGAGGCAGAGGCGCCCCTCCTCGCAGACCAGGGCTTCGCATGGGCAGTGCATCCAGAGTGGCGGCTCAGATGCAGCTCTGTGCTCATTATGCCCACTTTTAATGATATGCAAATTAAGGGGTGGTTTATGCAGAATTCTCCAGAATGAGGGCGGTGACATCTGGGCTGTCAGTGGTTGCCATGGAAAGGGGCGGTAACTTCTGGTCCTTGCCATGGCAGTGGTGACTGACATGACACACTGGTGAGTGTGTCTTATTGGGAGATGCTTCTGCCCCAGATCTGTTGTGGCTAGTCCTCGATTTGGTCCAGTGTCCAAGCCCCACCTCTGGAGTTGAGTTCTGCCTCCTAGCTCACTGAGAAAGTGGGCACTGGTGTCACTGTGGGGGCACTAGAGTCACTGGGGGGTGGGTACTGAAGGAGTGGAGAGTGGGCACTGGGGTTGCTGTAGAGTGGCCTCTGGGGCCACTGGCACGTGGGTACTGGGAGTACTGGGGTGCTGGAGAGGGGCACTAGAGTGGGCAGCACACACCCGAAGGTGAAGTCACAGGCCACAGGGCAATTGGAGCAGGGAGGCCCCGGGTCCGCAGGCCCCCCAGTTTTTCCCCCTGCCCTGCCTCCTGATGTCATGGCTGGCAGCAGGGCACTGGGGCCAGGCCTGGTGGGGCCTTTGGGCTGACCCCTCCCTGGGGGACTGGAGCCACAGCCTCTCGGAGTGCAGTGGGGTGGAAGCCAGCCCCCACGGAGTAGGTCAGATCAGCCTTGGCGGACGAGACTCAGGAGAGGGGCTCTGTCCGGGTCCCAGAGGGCCAGGAGAAGAGGGGAGCGTATTTTCATATGTTTAGAGTATCCTTGTGACCACTGTGGAGAAAACTCCCTTTTTTCTCATTTTTCCAACGTGGGCCTCAGCTGGGCTTTCTGGATACTGGTTGCACCTTCAGATTCAGCCATAGCAAGAGGAAATGCCACCTGCCCCCTGCCCTGTCACTGACCTGGCAGCGGCCTCGTGGGCCAGGATTACTGCAGGTGAGACTGAGACCCGGCTCCCTTTGCTTTTCTCCCCCGTGCACAGCCCTGGCATGAGAAGTGTCACAAAACATGCAAATGCCACAGGCTCTGTTGTCCTCCATAGCCTCCCAAGAAAAATGCCACTTCTGGGGCAGTACCCGACTGGGTGCCAGGCATCCTGCTGCAGTGCCCACCGCCTGTGCTGGCAGAATTGAGGGACACCCCAGTGAGGTGCGAAGGCATCCTGTCTACTCAGTTCATCAAAGTGTGTTTTCTGTAAAACACTCGCAGAGCTGACAGCAGCTGCAGGCGGCACCCTGGGGAACAGGGCTGGCTTCTGGGGATGGGGCAGCTCCCTGGCCAGAGGCCCCTGTGCCCTCCAGAAGCAGGGTCCCGAGGGCCTCTGTCCCCCCAGGAGGGCTGCCTGGAACAGCCTCAGCCATGGAGGCTGGCGTTGCTTCCAGAACAGTGTCCCCACGAGGCCTCGGAGAACATCAGCTGCGCACAGGGGCAGGAGCTCCAGCATTTACGTGCCTGGTGCTGCCTGGGAGGGATATAATAGGGGCTCAGGAGGCGTCCGTGCCACCCTCCCCCTGCTCTCAGGTTGACAATTCTGGCTTAACCCTCCCCCATGAACGTGCTGTGCCCTGAGAGGACAGAGATGGCTTCGGCAGGGCCAAAGACTGGGAGACTTGGGGGTCCTGAGTGGGATAGACTCAGAGGGGTGGGACTCCAGAGGGGAGCAGGGGCGAGACATCCCGTCCCACTGTGGGGGGTCCAGACCCTGCATCTGCACTCCTGCCTATGCTGGTTTGCTCTTCCATCGCCGTCTCTTTCTTTCTTTTTGGGAGAGTTTTTTGAGGACATTAGCCTTTTACTCCTCTCACGTGTTGCAATCCCCCCGCCCCCGTTCGTCTTTTTCTCCTGGGAAGGCAACTTCTGCCATTTAGAAATACGTGATTTTGGCTGGGTGCAGTGACTCACACCTGTAATCCCAACACTGTGGGAGTCCAGACGGTCGGATCACTTGAGGTCAGGAGTTCGAGACCAGCATGGCCAACTTGGCGAAACTTCATCTTTACTAAAAATACAAAAATGAGCTGGGCGTGGTAGCTGGCACCTGTAATCCCAGTTACTTGGGAGGTTGAGGCAAGAGAATCGCTTGAACTCGGGAGGCGGAGGTTGCAGTGAGCAATCATGCCACTGCATTCCAGCCCGGGAACAGGACTCTGTCTCAAAAATGAAAAAAAAAAAAAAAAAAGAAATACATGATTTTACATTAGTCAAATGTATCCATCTTTTATAGTGTTTGTTTGCATAGAAAAGTTTTGTCTCCTCTGAGATTACGTCTATAGTTTAATTTGATTGCAAGTGAACTAGGTACCAAGGGGTCACCAGGCACTCACTCCATCTTCTGCTTTCTCCGTTGAGAAGGTGCCTGCAGCACGTATTCTCTTTTGTAGACTCACTGCTGGGCTTTGTGCTGAGTCCTTTGTGCCATGGCGGCTCCCTGTAGCTCTGTGATCTATTCTCCTATCTGGATGCCGAAGCCCACGCGTGCCTTCTCTGGGCTTCCCGCTGTTCTTGCAAGCTTACTTTCTGCACAACTTCAGACTCAGCTTGTCTGGTTCTGAATGATCCTGTTGTTTTTTTATTGGCAATGACTTCAGGGATGAAGCTCCGTTTAGTCTTTCCATCCTGGGATGGGCTGCTTTTTGTGTCCCCCAGCAGAACTTGAAAGCTTTCTTGGTACAGGGCTCACATCTTTTACTAAGTTATTTATTTATTTATTTTTCTCCTTTTTGAGACAAGGTCTTGCTCTGTTCCCAGGCTGGAGTGCAATGGCGCAGTCTCAGCTCACTGCAACCTCCACCTCCCAGGCTCAAGCAATTCTCCTGCCTCCTCCCACCTCGGCCTCCCAAGTAGCTGGGACCACAAATGCACGCCACCACACCCAGCTAGTTTTCGTATTTTTGGTAGAGATGGGGCTTTGCCATGTTGCCCAGGCTGGTCTCAAACTCCTGGGCTCAAGCAATCTGCCTGCCTCAGCCTCCCAAAGTACTAGGATTACAGTTGTGAGCCACTGCCATCTGGCCAGCTTCATAAGCATTTTATAATTTTCTTTCTTTCTGGTTGTTGTGGATTTGGGCTTATTTATTTTGTTCCCAGCCTCCTTACTGACGTACGCTTTTGCTATAGGTGGTTTTCAGTTGATTTTGCAGGGATACAGCCACATCATCCGTTTAAAAATGGCCATTTCCCCTCCACTTTTCCACATGGACTCCTGTGTTAGTCAGCTCGCTGCCATGATGGAAATAGCACACTGGGCAGCTCACACACACACATTTATTTTCCCACACTTCTGGAGGCTGGAAGTCCAAGACTCCAGTGCCAGCAGGTTTGGTTTCTCCTGAGGCCTCTCTCTCTGGCTTGTAGGTGGCATCTTCTCACTGGGTCCTCACCTCCTGAGGTCTCTCTCTCCTTGCAGGGACACCCATCACTTCAGATGACAGTCCCTCAGGGTCCCTGTCTCCAGGTAGCCTGGCACTGGGGGTCAGGTCTTCAACACAGGAATCCCAGGATTGGGGGGGTGATTCCATCTGTAGCAGCACCTGACTCTCTCTTCCTAACTGCAGGACGCCCAAGTGGTAAGTGCTGGCACTGGCATGGCGTCTGCCCCTGAGCCGAGAAACAGCCCTTGCAGGTCCTCGCTGTCCCCAGGGTGGCTAGGGCCGGGCCGGCGTCTGTGAGGGATGTGAGGTCACGTAGTTGAGGTTGAGGGGCAGCAGAGGCGGGAGGCTGGCGTGCTCTAGAGAGGCTTGTTATCTTGGGGTGGGGGGGCATGGGAGGGTCAGCAGGGACAGGGCAGGGTGGGGGAAGAGCTGTGGGAGGTGCTGGAAGGGCACAGGTCCCTGGACCGCAGGCAGCGGTGCATAGGGGGAGCCTGAGAGAGCCATGTGGAGTCACCCCCCATGCCCAGCCGGGCTCTGCCCACCCTGGGTCCTCCCAGGCTCATGGGGGAGCCTCCTGGGGCCCAGGTGTGTGGCCCCAGCAGCTGTGGCACGGGTATCTGGCCAGTGGCCCTGACCCAGCCTGGTGAAATGCACTATATAAATGTAAATTTCCCTGCAAACTGCTCGCTCACTCATTCAACAAGCAATCAGTGCAGCGCTGTCACTCCAATTTTCCACACTTTGTGTCTCTGTTCTCTGTCTGGGGCAATCCTGTTTCCCTGGGCTGTGGCAGGCTGGCAGCTGGAAAAGTTCAGCTTCTCAGATGCAGACAGGACCACCCAGCGGGCCGCCACTGAAGGGTGGGGCACAGCTGCAGGTGGCTGAACCAGGCAGGGTGTCCCAGCGAGGTCTCTCCAGGCTCGGGGATTGGGTCGGTCGCCTGAGGCTCGGGGATTGGGTCGGTCGCCTGGGATGGGGAGTGGATTTGGGAAGAGAAGAGCCTGATTGGTGGGCCCTGGGGAGAGGGAGATGCACGCCCATCTTCTCTGGGCAGATGGGGGTGAGGGAGGAAGAAGTGGGGGAGCTCCGTTTAGGGCTCTCCCTCCCTCCCTTCCTCAGGGAGCTCCTGGGTACCTGGGCCTCCGGGCCTCCTCTGCACTCCACCTGGAGGGACAGCAGCACAGGGGCTGTCTCTGGAGCACCGTGGCAGCCTCAAACAAGATGTTCCCTCCAGCAGCAGCTTGCTTGCCTCCCATTGGTCAAGAGCAGACAGCCCATGGGGTCTCCTTTTAAAAGCAGGGAAACTGAGGCCAGGGAGTGAGGTATATACTCCCCCAGGGCAAGTAGCAGACCTGAGGCTCGAGGCCGGCCCTGGGCCACATCCGTGGCACCCTGGAGGTGGAGACAGCAGGCAGGGCACAGGCATCAGGGGCTGGGCATGGATAGTGGAAGGGGGAGACCATGCTCAGAGCCCAGGCCCTGCCCCAGAGGCCCACACACCAGACCTGACCCTCCCCCGTCTCAGCCACTGTGCAGTCCTGGCTGCCCCCATCCTCTGTGGGCTCCGTGCTGCCCCTCGTCCCCGGGGTGTTCCCTGCCCATGCCTGCTGGCTGGGATTCATTTATCTCGGTATCTGCACATCCCCTAGCTTTTGGGGCTCGGGAGGGAGGCCCAGCTTCAGTGCCAGGGAGGAGTGGAGAGGCTCAAGGCCTTCCAAGGGCTGCGGGTTCATCCAGTGCTCACCTGCCTGTCCTATGAAGGGACACGAGCAGCTGACCAGGGACAGCAGGGCAGCCCCAGGGATGGGCTCCTTTTAAAAAAACAGCTTTATCAAAGTATCATTGGCATACAACAAACCTCACATATTTAACATGTACAATGTTATGGGTTTTGACATGTGTCCATGCGTCCATGCCAGCAAGAACATCCCCAGGACCCAGGACACAAACATTCTGGTCACCCCCAGAAGTCATTTCTGTCCCTTCCTGACACCTCCTCTCCACCTTTCCTCTGAGCCCGGCAACCACTCATCTTTAGTCACTGTAGATTAAGTTTCACTGTCTAGAATTTTGTACAAATGTACACTTTTCCCCTCTGGCTTCTCTCACGCAGCACAATTATTTTGTAATCCATTCATGTCGTCTTGAGTAACAGTAGTTCTGTTTTGTTGCTGAGCTGAGCAGTACTCCATTGTGTGGTTATGATACACAGTGATACAGTTTACAATTCACCTTTTGATGGACATATGGGTAGTTCCAGTTTGGGGCTGTTACAGATAAAGTTCAATGCACTTCAAGTATAAGTCTTTGTGTGGACATGCACTTTCATTTCCCCTGGGTAAATGCCTAGGAGTGGAATGGTGAAATTGTAGGGTAGATGTATATGTAATTTTTAAAGAAACAGCCGAGCTGGTTTCTAAACTGGCGGTTCGACTTTACTCCCCACCGCGATGCACGCACACTCCCCCGTGTCCTCACCTGCACTTGGCAAGGTTGGTCTTTGTAATTTCAGCTGCTCCAATAGGTGCACAGTGGCAGCTTTGTGCGGTTTTAACCTGCGTTTTCCTGATAATTAGCAATGTCGAGCATCTTTTCATGTATTCACTTACCAGCTGTGTATCTTCTCTGGTAAGAACGTCTCCTCAAATCTTTGGTGTGTTTTGAATTGGGTTGTTTCTCTTAGTATTAATTCGTAAGAAATTTTCCACTGCTTTTTCAAATTGAACTATAACATGACATTAACCATTTTAAAGCATGCAATTCTGTGATTTTTAGTGTATTTATAAGGTTGTGAAACCATCATCGCGGCCTAATTCCAGAACATTTTCCTCACCCTGTGAAAGTTGATCTTACAAATTGGGTCATTCTTGTCACACCCAACTACATGAGAGTAGGAGGCTGAGGGAAAAGCACTCGGGGTGCAAGACATTCCTCTAGGAATGTGATTCTCTGCAAGTCCAGCTGCTGAAACTGCTGTCACCTGAAGGCAGCCTCATCTGCAGCAACTGCGATCAGGGCCGCAACTCCGGGGCCGACTTTGCCCGGCCTGGCCCAGCAGTGGGGACTTGCGGGCCCGAGCTTTTCCAATGCCCGACGTCCTCGGGGCCACAGGTGACCTTCCTGTTTCCTGAGCTGCAGCCTTGTTTTTATTCTCAGATGGGGAGCGCCCCTGGTCTGAGTGTGTGCCCCGAACTGCAATTCCTTCCTCTCAAATAAAACACACGAAACATAGAGATTCATCTACGTTTTATTTTGACTTCGACAAAGAGGAAGCCCTGTTCCCATTCCGCAGTCGCTGCCTGCTCTCCGCCCCAGTCCCTGCCACCAGGAGTCTGCACTGGGCCTCCGGAGACCACAGCCACTTGGGAACCGGAAAGGAAGGGGGACAGAACAGGAATGGCCATCCCGGAGCTGGGACTGGCTGTCGCTGGGCCCGAGGTTTTCAAGGGTTCCGGAGCGCGGCCTCCGTGGCTGGGCCTCAGAGACTAACAGACTCAGGCTGCCCGCGCCCCAGCTCAGCGCCCAGGGTCCCACGACCGCCATCAAGGCAGCTGGGGCGGCCTCGACCCCTGCCCCATTGGATGCTGTGGCTCCCGCCCCAGAGCGGTCCCCCAGCCCCGTCAGGAGGGCCGCCAATCACAGTGCCCCATCTCTCCCACCGCAGGGATTGGTCTAGGGCCAGGCACATGGCCTAAGCTGTCCAATCACAGTACCCCATCTTTACGACCACAGTGATTGGTCCAGGAGTGGGCACATGGCCCAGGCCATCCAATCATAGTGCTCCATATGTCTAACCACAGTGATTGGTCCAGGGACAGACACATGGCCTAGGCTGTCCAATCATGGTGCCCCATCTGTCTAACTATAGTAATTGGTCCACACATGGGCACATGGCCTAGGCTGTCCAATCATAGCTCCATAGGGAGGAGGAACAGAGCGGGCATAGGGAGGAAGGGAGTAGGGGAGGAGAGGGAAGGCGAAGGAGAGAGGGAGGAGAGGAAGGGTGGGGGGTGGATGGGGGAGGTGAGAGGGAATGAGGGAGGAAGGGCAGGGTAGCGGGACAGGGGAGGGTGGGTGCTTTGCAATTTAATAGGGTGCCAGCACCCAAGGCCTCCCGAAACTCTCCTTTCCAGGGCAGAGACCGTGGCTCCAGCCCACACAGGCCCCGAGGGAGTTCTGGGCGCAGCCCTCCCATCCACGCCCCTGCAGGGCAGCCAGCCACCTGCCAAAGTGGGGCTTCGCCCACCCTCAGGGCCTGATTTATAAGGTGTCTTGCTGCTGGTCATTTGCTTTCTCCAAAGCCTACAGAAATCTAATTGCTGTTTGAAGAAAAAAAAAATGCCCTAAATAAAGCAGTTAATTGCAAGCAGCAGCTCCTTTAGGCGCAGCCTTGCGGTCCTGGAGCTGCCGGCCATGGACCCCGAGCGGGGCGCCGGGGTGGGGCCTGGGCCGCAGACAGATCGGGGATCGGGCCGGGGGCAGCTGGGGTGGGCTCAGCAGAGCAGTCCCTGGCCCCGCGGTTAATTGAAATAACCGGGTCAATACACGGCCGCCGGGACCCAGCCCCATTTGATCTCTCTCCTGGGCAGATTAATTAAGTGTTATCAATTAGCGGCCCTGGGTAAAGGGCCACACTGTCAGGCCTGATGGGGACCGAGCGCGCCACAGGTCCGGGCCGATGTCCGTGGGGGCGACAGGCCTGCCAGGCGGGCTTCAGCGGGGAAGCCAGGGGTCAGGGACCAGGTCCCTGGGGCAGCGCCAGTGCGGGCAGTCCCCGAGCCTTGGACAGCCCAGCACGGGTCCAGCCCCGGCCCCAGCACGGCTCCTGCACCGCCCCAGGACGTCCCCTGCATAGCCCAGGACAGCCCAACGCCGCCCAGCAGGGCCCCAGGACAGCTCCAGGACGGCCCCAGCATAGCCCAGCACGGCCCCAGCCCGGCCCCCGCACCCCCTCCCCCCGACCCGCCCAGCACCGCCCAGGAGGGTCCCAGCACCGCCCAGGAGGGTCCCAGCACCGCCCAGGAGGGTCCCAGCACCGCCCCAGGAGGGTCCCAGCACGGCCGCAGGGCACGCGGCGCTGTGGAGCGCATGAGCGGGGTGCGCCCTAGGGTGCGGCCCGCGCTGGCAGCCCCAGCCCGACTGCCGACCGCCGCTGCCGTAGAAACTGGGCCCATCCGCGGTGCCGGTGCAAGGTGCGGCCGTGGGGAGGCGGCGGGGCCGGGCCGCCGGGAGCTGGGAGCCGCGGCCACATCGGTGGAGCAGGGCGAGGCGCCACCTGGCGGCGGGCCCTCCCCTCCCGTGCGCGGCGCCGGAGCCGCTGGGGCCCCTTCCCGCTGCCGCAGCCCGCCTGGAGGTCCCCGCCCTCCAAGTCCCTGCCCGCCAGCCTCTTCTCCCATCATGGCGCCGTCGCCTGCAGCCTCTCTGGACACTGAACGTCATGTTCAGCCTGGACACTCACAAATGGTCTGGCTCCCCACACCCCAGGCTGCCCACACAGGCACCCCTGCTGACCCCGGCAGGGCCCGGGCTTCCGGCCTTCTTTATAGGACCAGAACAGCGAGGGGGACTGAGGAGTGAGGGCTGCCTGAGCCCGGCCTTCTTTATAGGACCAGAACATGGAGGGGGTCTGGGGAGTGAGGGCTGCCTGAGCCGGGTCTCTGGAAAGCAGTCCTTGAGGCTCAAGGGTGAGGCTGGGAGGAAGCTCTTCCCTCATCACCCCACCCTTCCTACCTCTCTTTGCTGGTCCCAGCTGGGTGGCCATACTCTTCCATCTTGGACTAAAGAGCCCTCCAGGGAACATGGGCCAGCACACGCCTGTCCTGAGCCTTGGAGCAGCTGGAGTTCGACAGACTTGGCCTCAGCTCGGTTTTTGCCATGTCTGCTGGGTGGCCGTAAGGAAGTTGCTCCAGCTCTGAGTCCCAGTTTCCTCCTCTTGCATGACTGTTCTGATTATTAAGAGACCAGATGTGAAAAGAGCTGTGGACCAGGAAGAAAGGAGATGATGATTATGGCAATGGCTATGGTGGAGGTGATGAGGATGATGGTGGTGGTGATGGTGATGATGGTGATGCTGGTGGTGATGATGATGGTTGATGATGATGGTGATGGTGATGATGGTTATGGCTGATGGTGATGGTCATGATGGTGATGGTGGTGATGGTGATGATGGTGATATGGTAATGGTCATGATGGTTATGGTGGTGATGATGGTGATAGTGACAATGATGATGGAGGTGACGTTGGTAATGATGGTGGTAGTGATGGTAGTGATGATGGTGATGGTGGTTGATGGTGATGGCAGTTGATGGTGATGGTCATGATGGTGATGGTGGTGATGGTGATGATGGTGATATGGTAATGGTCATGACGGTTATGGTGGTGATGATAGTGATAGTGACAATGATGATGGAGGTGATGTTGGTAATGATGGTGGTAGTGATGGTAGTGATGGTGGTGGTGGTTGGTGGTGATAGTGGTGATGGTGATGATGGTGATGGTGGTGACACTGAGGTGATGGTGGTGGTAGTGGTCATGATGGTGGTGGTGATGGTGGTGATGATGGTAATGGTAGTCATGGTGATGGTGATGGTGATGGTGGTGATGATAAAGGTAGTGGTGATGGTGGTGGTGATGACAATGATGGTGATGGTGATGATAGTGGTGATGGTGGTAATAGTGATGACGATGGTGGTGGTGATGATGGTAACAATGGTGATGGTGGAGATGGTGATGGTGGTGATGGGGATGATAGTGGTAGTGACGATGGTGGTGGTGATGATGATGGTGATGATGATAGTGACAGTGATGATGGTGATGGTATTGGTGATGGTGATGATGGTGATAGTGATGGTGGTGATAGTGATGGTGGTGGTGGAGATATGATGGTGATGGTGATGGCGGTGATGTTATTGATGGTGATGGTGACAAAGATGACACTGGTGATGGTGGTGATGACGGTGATGATTATACTGATGTGATGATGTGATATTGATGGTAGTGACGATCATGGTGGTGGAGATGATGGTGATGGCGGTGATGATGGTGATGGATGGTGGTGGTGGTGATGGTGATGATGGTGATGGTGGAGATGATGGTGATGGTGATGGTAATAATGACAGTGGTGATGGTGGTGACAATGGTGGTGATTGTGATGGTGGTGGTGGTGGTGGAGATGATGGTGCTGGTGATAATAATGACAGTGGTGATGGTGGTGATGATGGTGATGACTGTGATGGTGATGATGGTGATGATTGTGATGGTGATGATGATGATGATTGTGATGGTGGTGATGGTGATGATTGTGATGGTGATGGTGATGATGGTGATGACTGTGATAGTGATGGTGATGATTGTGATGGTGATGGTTGTGATGGTGGTGATGATGGTGATGGTGATGATGGTCATGATGATTATGGTGGTTAGTTGTATTACTTATCTATTGCTGTATAACAAATTGCCTGAAAACATAGTAACTAAAAATCACAAATATTTATTATCCTGCGCGGTTACTGAGGGACCCTCGGAAACTTGAGAGCAGCCTAACTGTGTAGTTCTGGCTCAAGGTCTCTGGTGAAACTGCAGTCAAGTTGTCAGCCATGGTTGTAGGCATCTCAAAGCCTGACTGGTGGTAGATTCATTCCCAAGAACATCCCGAGGCTGTTGGCAAGCCACCGACGTTCACTGCCTATACCCCAGGGATGTCGGTTTCCTGCCTCTATGGGCTTCTCCATAGGCTGTCTGAGTGGACTCACTCCAGCCACTGGCTTCCCCCAAGGGGAAGTGATGAGAGAGAGATAGGGTCAGGGAGGGGAGGAAGGCGAGGGAGAAATCCAGCCAGCACCCAAGACAGAGGCATGCTCTTTTCTACAGCCTCCTCTCAGAGGAGCTGCCTCCCCACCTGCCACATCACCCAGAAGCATTGCTAGGCGCAGCCCCGCTCCAGGGGAGGGGACTCCGTAGGGGTGTGCATCCCTGGGGCCATCTCAGAGCTGCCAGGCAGACACTGTGATGAGGAGAATGCAGAAGGAGCAGAGAGTGTCTTCTGGCTTCAGCCCCCTCCAGCCAGGAGGAAGAGGTCAGAGACCCCACACAGTCCCTGTGGACTCCAGGTCTCACACCTGACTTAGAAAAAAGAGAAATTCTTGGGCCACACCAGGGGCTTCTTGTGATTTGCTTCTTCCTGCTGGGGCCTGAGTCCCTCTGAAGTGTTCTGTGAGTTGTGGCTGTGTTCACGTCTCTCCGTCAGCCAGACTGTGGGTGCCGTGTCCCTGAGCCTGGGCCTCCCTCCGGCCTTTTGCGATCTGTGCATTCCCTCCAGACGGCAGCTCCTCACTCCCAGGGCCCCTCTACTGGGGCACCAGCAAGGAGGGAGGCAGAGGGGCCAGGCACTGAGTAGGGGAGGGGCTGGCAGGGACCCTCTACCTGGCCCCTTGGGAAGGACACAGACCCAGATGGAGCCTGTCCCCTCGACACCTGGCCTGGGCCCCTCCCCAGCTCTGCTGGAATAAATCCTCCTGTAACAACCTCCCGCTGCTGTCCCAGCGTCTGAAGAATGAACACAGCTCCCCATAACTTTCCAGGCGCTATCCGATGGGACAGTTTGTAATAAAATTGCTTCTAAAAACATATTTGCAAGTCGCCACCACATTTTTTAAGCAGAACAATCTCTCGCAGAGGCTCTTCGTCTCCGTGATTAAGTAGCCGGCTTTCTTACATAGATTTTGCTATATGCGTCTTCACCAGGCTGAGGAAACGCTGTCTCTTCAGCGGTTTCCTTTAAAAAGTGTTTTGACGTGTGATTTACGGGGTTATCTGATGCGTCCTCTCCTGGAGTGGGTCAACAGTGAGGGAAGGGGTGCCCTCGGGGTGTATCTGTAAGCCAGGCTGGCTGGGCCAGGACTCACCTGAGGCTTGAGGGGTTCAGCATGTGGGGTTCAGGTCCCCTGCTCCTGGTGTCCCGCTGGCCTTCTCCCTCTCAGCCCCAGGCATCTTCCTGGGCCCTCTGCCACCCCTCCTCAGGGGAGGGAGGCAGCGGGGAGTATAGTATAGCATCTCTGCACCTAGCTGTGTCTGAGGCCACCGCTGGCCTTGGGTAACAGCGACGATCCTGCCCCTGGAGCTGGACCACGGGAGGGTCCGCGCCCTTCTCCCATGCAGTGAAGTCAGCCAGCAGTGGCCAGAACAGGCTCCAGCCCTCCGCCCACCAGCAGCCACAGGTGCCACCCACCTGGGCTAGCCCTGGGTGGAGACGCTTGCTCTCTGCAGTGTCAGGCACTGCGGCTGTTCAGGGCTGTCCTGGGCATCTAGGCAGAACCCCCCGGCACACCCACACCATGGTGGCTCTGGGGAGCGACTGGCCCCCAGTGGGTGACTGGGGTCAGACCCTGTGGCCACTGTGACCCACAGAGCTCCCACCAGGGGTCTCAGGGACACCCACCACCTGTCACTGGGTCGCTGATATTTGCTTCTGTAAAAGTGTCAGCCAGTTGAAATGAAACTTTTGTTTCTCGCCCTGTCTTCACGACATCTTCTCAGACCCCTCACTCACTCCTGTGGGACAAAAACTGCTCCTCACAGATGAGCCCCCCACCCCCTGGCCGACAGTTAGGGCTGAGCCCAGAGACCCGGGTGTTGAGGACTGTGATGTACGAGCAGCCCCATCCACACCAGAGGGCTGTGAACGGTCTGTCTGGGAGCAACATAGGTCCTCTGGTGGGCAGACTACACCCCTGCCTCGAGCTCACCAGTCACAGGGGCAGTCAGTGAGCCTCTCCGGTGGCACCAGCCCCTGGACGGGCAGCACTTGGTGAATTTGAGCCTACGGCCTTTCCAGGGCTGTTGTCTGTGTGGAGGCTGTCCTAGGGAGGCCAAGCAGACCAGGCCCTCGTCCTGCCCAGCCCCTCAGCCAGCAGCACTGCCTGACTGCCCAGGACCTATGTGCAGCAAAGCTGGCCTCCTGGGGCAGCACCAGGTACCCTCTGAGTAGGGCCCCCTGGCCATGAAGCCACCTGAGGGCCCAAGGCTGAGGAGCCCCTGCCGTACTCTGCAGCTCTGGCCTGGCACCGGCCCTTCCCAGCACCCCACCTGCGAGTGTGCGCTGCACACCCATCCATGCATCTGCACACCTGTGATCCATGCGTCTGCACACCTGTGAGTGCGTCCACCCCGTGCCAACAGCAGGCAGGGAGCCGCCCTGACAACCACGGTGGGGGCACCCAAGTCTGCACTGCCGGGCAAGCTGGCCACCCACAGAGGCTGTCCTCACCCAGAGCATCACACGCATCAAAAGGAAGGACGCTGGCACTGAAGCCTGGGGGGACCCTGAGGACTCTGTGGCCAGTGAAGGAGGCCGGCAACAAAGGGCGTGTTCCGTGACTCCGCTCCTGGGAAACACCTGGAGCAGGCAAATCTGGATGAGGGGTGAGGGGTCGCCGGGGGCTGCGGAGGGGACGGCGCAGGGTTTCTTTGGAGGTGATGCAGATGTTGAAAATGGACTGTGGTGATGGTTGTGCAGCTCTGTGGAAAATGAAAAACACTGAATTTTACAATTTAAATGCTGTGCAAGTCATATCTCGATAAAGCTGTTTAAATAAAAAGAAAGAACATTGGGCCGGGCATGGTGGCTCATGCCTGGAATCCCAGCACTTTGGGAGGCCAAGGCAGATGGATCACTTGAGGCCTGGAGTTCGATACCAGCCTGGACAACATGGCAAAACCCCATCTCTATAAAAAATACGAAAATTAGCCGGGTGTGGTGGCGCACACGTGTAATCCCAGCTACTCGGGAGGCCAAGGCAGGAGAATCACTTGAACGTGGAAGGTGGAGGTTGCAGTGAGCCAAGACTGCGCTACTGAACTCTAGCCTGGGCGACAAAGCGAGACTGTCTCAGAAAAACAAACAAACAAAAAACATTAAATTGGGGTGCCACAGGGGTGTTTGGGCAAAGGCTATGTGCCTCCCTCCGCCTGGGCCAGGTCTCCAGGCTCCCGGCACCCTGGTTCCTCTCCATCCCCTCAAAGGCGGTAGTACCTGGAGCCAGCCCTGGAGACCTCCCGGCCGGCCAGCGTAGCTGCAAAGGCTGGGGGCCAGCACCAGGCTCTTCTGGAGCCAGCATGGGCACTGACCCTGGCGCCCAAGTGGCCCTTCATGGAGTACCGGGTCTGGTTAGGGCAGAGGGTGGACAAGCAGGCACAGGGTGTCTTTGTGCCTGGGAAGGGGTGGCAAAGGCAAAGAGAACCACGGTGGAATGTACCCTGCTACAGGGGCTGGCCTGGGCCCAGCTCCCTGCAGCCTCCTACGGGCCCCTCACTCCCCTCTGCTCCCTGGGTGCCCACGATGCAGGCAGCTGGGCAGGGGCTTCAGCCTCAGAGGGCCCCCGTGGGATCAGTCCAGCCTCACCACAACCACACTCCAGCAAGGGCAGGGCCACTGGGCCTGGGGGCGGCTGGAGGGGGCATGGCCACAGGCAGGCAGCCTTCCCGCTGGAGGAGGCACCACCCCACCCCACTTCGGACCCCCTTGGACAGCCCCTCCCGAGGCCCATGACTGTAGGAGGCCTAGGGGTGGACCCTGCGGCGCCCCTGCCCACAGGCCGGCAGAGCCCCCCAGCCCTTGTTTTCCCGAGGTTGAAGTGGTTACAGATATATTAATTATATTTCTGCCCCTTAATGGGCTGCTTACTTTATGATGTGGGGACACAAAAGTAAATTTTAAAATCAATTATACAATTACATATGTAGCAATAACAGAGGACACAGCTAATCTTCACCGGGTCAGGACTGCAACCTTCCAATAATGCAGGTTTCATTAGGGGAAGGGCTGTTATTGCCAAGAATTACAGAAATAATGGGAGAGGGTGTATTCAGCGAGAAGTTAACAAATGAGGCTGCTCTGGAGATAAGACGCAGAGCCGGCTGCCGGCTAGAGCCGTGGAGGCCGACACATCGGGGTCACCCGCTGCTGCGGGAACAAGAATTAATTTTAGACGCTTCCTTGGGGTCTGGCGGCGGGGGCTTCTGCCTAGCGGAGGGGGGGGCGAGGGGCGGGCGCGGAGTGGGGTCCCTCAGCCTCCTTCCTCTCCGCTACTGGATCCTGTCGCTGGAGGCCCCGCCGCCGGGCCCGCCCTGATGGCGCGGGTGGACCAGGGGACAGGTGGCCAGGTTGCCAGCACAGGGTAGGAGTGCGTGGGCTCGGCGAGGGCTCAAGGGCTCCTCTGCAGTCAGCGTGGGGCTGCGCCACGGCCCCGGCACCCACAAGCCACGGGGATGGTTTCCAGGGGCGGG
Source organism: Homo sapiens (assembly GCF_000001405.40). Classification (NCBI taxonomy): domain Eukaryota; kingdom Metazoa; phylum Chordata; class Mammalia; order Primates; family Hominidae; genus Homo; species Homo sapiens. Next base: position 95,256 of record NW_021159990.1, read on the forward strand.
GATCGAACCAGCGTCCAAAGCCTGCTGAGCCCAGAAGGGCGGAAGCCAGGCTCGGGGAGGGAACGGCTGGAAAGGCAGGGCGGAAAGGCTCCCTGGAAAGGCTCCCTGCACTCAGCACGGAAGCAGCTTCTGGAAAGGTCTCAGCCGCTCTGGGTCTGGCTTCAGGAGCGGGGTCCTTCCCAGCCGTCGTCACTCTGCAAAGACCCGAGCGACCCCGGGACACCAGCCCCGGCCTGTCCAGGGTGCGCGGACCCCTCCCTACGCGGCGGCGACCCCGGGGACGCCTCTCCCTCCTCCAGCCCCTCCGAGGCCGCCCCGGGGACGCCTCTCCCCCCTCCAGCCCCTCCGAGGCCGCCCCGGGGACGCCTCTCCCCCCTCCAGCCCCGCCCAGGCCGCCCCGGGGACGCCTCTCCCCCCTCCAGCCCCTCCGAGGCCGCCCCGGGGACGCCTCTCCCCCCTCCAGCCCCGCCCAGGCCGCCCCGGGGACGCCTCTCCCCCCTCCAGCCCCGCCCAGGCCGCCCCGGGGACGCCTCTCCCCCCTCCAGCCCCTCCGAGGCCGCCCCGGGGACGCCTCTCCCCCCTCCAGCCCCTCCGAGGCCGCCCCGGGGACGCCTCTCCCCCCTCCAGCCCCGCCCAGGTCGCCCCGGGGACGCCTCTCCCCCCTCCAGCCCCTCCGAGGCCGCCCCGGGGACGCCTCTCCCCCCTCCAGCCCCTCCGAGGCCGCCCCGGGGACGCCTCTCCCCCCTCCAGCCCCTCCGAGGCCGCCCCGGGGACGCCTCTCCCCCCTCCAGCCCCTCCGAGGCCGCCCCGGGGACGCCTCTCCCCCCTCCAGCCCCTCCGAGGCCGCCCCGGGGACGCCTCTCCCTCCAGCCTCGCCCATGCCCGGCCCCTCCCGGTGCAGCGAGGCCCGCGCTGATCCTGGTGATTCCTGCGGCCGCCGGGGCCCCGCATGCAAATGAGCCGACGGCTCCGGCCTCTCTTTCCTCGCGCCGGCAAATAGACTCTGATAAGGGGATCTTTGTAATTACACGGAGCTACACTGGTCAATTCTGACTTTTAAATACCGCAGGGCCGAGAAAGGGAAGAAAGCGCGAACACATGTTCCCGGCGGCCGCCGCGGTGCCTTTGAATCCCGCCCCCGCCGGGGCCCCGTGGCCCGGCCGCTCTTTGTGAAGCGCTGTCGCTCCATCTCGGCGCGAGATCATTTCCAAATTAAATTTTATGGTCCATTACTTATCGCTCCGACACTGGTCTAATGGAATCTTAAATGGAACTGACTTGATCTGCGTGGGGCTGGCCTCTCAGTTAAGATGTTATTTAGTTCTAATTATCAGATAATGAACTCGGGAAATTTAATTTTTAATATTTGTATGTCAAAAGTCCATTGTGTTTTGGTGAGAGACTTTAAATTAAAAGTTAACGCGGGTCAAGCAACAGCCCCAGCTCATCCCTCCAAGGGCGGAGGCCACGCCAAGCCCCTGCTGGGCGCCTGTTGGCCCCCAGGACCGGCCCCCAGGTGAGTGCCCACCAGCAACTCAGAAGCCCCCCTGGTGGTCTTCTGCAGCCCCCCTGGCCCGCGAGGAAGAGCGCCCTCCTGGGCTCACAGCTGCCACTCGGGTCCCCACCTGGAAAGAGGTTGGACCCAGCGCCTACAGCAACGCCTCCCCCAGCTGTCCCCAAGACCCCCAGGGGCAGCAGACGGACACAGGAAGAAGGAAGCACCTCAGCCCCACAGCGCTTTGGGCGGACACCTTGGCTTCACAGACGAGGCACAGACAGTCCCCTTTGTCCCTGAGGTGAGGAGGAAGCTGTCTGTCCTGTCCCGATACACGGCAGGAGTGTTTCCACTGCAGGACTCAGCAGAGGCCGCATCCGGAGGGACCAGGCCCTGCATCCTCACGGCCAGCACACAGAGCAACCCCACCAGGCTCCCCTGCAAGCCCCCCTGCAAGGCCGGCCTGTAGCTAAGGCTGCTGCTGCCACCCTGGGTTCCCCTCCACTCTTTTGGCCCCTGCCCCCCTCACCCTCATGCCCCTTGGTGTGAACACCCAAGGCCCACCTGTCCTCTGTCCCGTCACAGCCACAGGCAAGGCCTGGGGACGTCAGTGCCTTACCAGCCTCCTGCCCAAATACTTTGAGTCCAGGTCTTTCTGGGGCAAGCCAGGCTCTGTGACCTCTGCCGCATCCTGATGTGGGCCTGGACTCGCGGCTGGAAATTATCCCGACTCAGCCCAAAGTCAGGTGCCGCTTGTGCTTTGCGTGACAGAACAGGTCTCAGGGGTCTGACTGCGTCAGCAAGCACAGGGAAGCCTCCTTCCTACCCTGATCGTCATGAGGCTGGGAGAGAAGGGAGGGCCAGGGGGGCTGCAGAAGACCACCAGGAGGGCTTCCGGAGGAGGAGCCACTACCAGGGACCAGCTGGGGCCTATCTGGGTGATGCAAGAAGGCTGGCAGGCCTGGCCCCTCCCCCTCTGCCTGTGGCTGTACCAGGGTGCCCACATGGGGCAGGGATGTGCCATCTGCCCTCCATCCCTAGCACTGGGTGATGGCTTCCACAGTGGCCACAGAGTCTGCACACGCTCAAGACCACCACAGACAACCAGCCAGGAGAAACTGGGGAGTCCCCCCGGGTGTCTGCCTCAGGGTCTCCCACGTGGAGGCAAAGGTTGCCTAGTGTTATCAATTGTTGCATAACCAACCACCCCAAAACCTAATGTCTTAAAACCATGACAGCGTCTGTTTTGCCTACAAATCTGCACTTTGGGCAGGGCTCAGTGAGGACAGCTGGTCTCTGCTCCTCTTGATGTCACTGGGGTGACTTGGAGTCTGGGCTGGAGTCGTCCAGAGGCCCCTTCACTCACCATCAGGTGGTCAGGCTGGCTGGGCTGGGACTGGGACCCCTGCGTGTAGCCTCACCTTGACCTGGGCTTCCTCTCAACATGGCGGCCAGGACTAGGGTAAGTTGCCGTTTATGATCCATCCTTGGAAGTCACCCAGCCTCAGCCTGCCCCATTCTTCTTCTGTTTGAAGCTTGTCCTTAAAGTCAGCTGATATTCAGTGTGGGTGGGGGAATTATACAAGACACGTCAAAGACTGTGGACGTGGTGGGGCCAGCTTCCCGGGATGGGGCCAGACTCAAACTCTCCTTTCTAGGGGCCTCCCTCACTTGGAACTGGGAGCCCACCCAGGCCCTCTGGGCCAATCTCCTCCCTCCATGCTTCCCACACCCACCAAATCCTGTGGATAGTGGGCTTTGCTTCACCAGACAAGCCCTTCACTTCTGCCTTGCCAGGGAAGGGTCTTGGTTCTCAGAGGAGCTGGGGTGCTCTGAGAGTGGAGTGGGGGTGTCTGCCCCTGCACTCTCCCATCCGCCTGCTGTGCCCTGTGTGTCCCCTGACGCTCAGGTGCAAGCAGTGCTGCCCTCAGTGCTATTGATCCTCACAGGGACCTCTGCTGTGGCTTCTGCTGCCTCCTCCCACACTTCCCCGTTTGAGCTCCTTGCACAGCTCTGCCATTCACCCCTGGACTCGGGCTGTGCACTTTTAAATCACCTTCCATGAGTTGGAGAAGGAACAACTTGTTTTAATCCTTCTTGCTTTTTTCAGATTTATTTTCAACATAGATTCCTCTGGTTACTGAGGGCGAGAGCAGGGGAGTCACCTTTGCCCTTCCTTCTCACGGAAGCTGTGCAGCTCTTTCCAAGTGCTGCACTGGTGGTTTCATCGTGTGGCATCCACACAGCGTGTATGTTTCAGGCCCCGAGGCTCCGGGGCTCCTGCTGCAGCCTCCTTGCTGTCCCGTCAAGGGACCAACGTCTTCATTAATTCAGGATGGCACCTGCTCTGGAGCCGACTCCTGGCTCTGCACTTGCAACTCTGGGCAAGCCACTTAACCTCTGTTTTCCTCTGTCTAATCTGTGCATGGGGACAGTAAAAAGACCTATCACAGAAGCACTGGGAGCACGTAGGAGGGGCCGCGCCAGCCGTCCTCCTGGCTTCTCATCACTGGCATTATTTCAGAAGACAGCCTTTGTCCTAACAGAAGCACTGGGAGCACGTAGGAGGGGCCGAGCCAGCCGTCCTCCCGGCTTCTCATCACTGGCATTGTTTCAGAAGACAGCCTTTGTCCTAACAGAAGCACTGGGAGCACGTAGGAGGGGCCGCGCCAGCCGTCCTCCCGGCTTCTCATCACTGGCATTGTTTCAGAAGACCCCCACCACCACCTTCGTCCCTAGGGGATACGTTCCAAGACCACCAGTGGAAGCTGGAAACCTCACATAGTAGCAATACCTGCACACTGTCTTCTCGATCTGATAATCGAAGTGGCTGCTAAGTGGCTAATGGGAAGGCAGCATCTGCGGCGTGGATCCACTGGACAAACAGATGACTCCTGTCCGGGGCAGGATGGAGCAGGCAGGTGTGAGGTTTCACTGCAGTACTCAGAACATCATGCAGTTTAAAATTCAGAATTGTTTTATTCTGAATTTTCCATTGAACAATTTTGGACTGTGGATGACCGCGGGTAGCTGAAACTGTGGAAGGCAGAACCATGGGAAAGGAGACTACTGTATTCATGCCAGCTTCTTGTGAGCTCCCTCCCTGTGCCACAGCCTGCCTTGGGCACCGAAGATTCAGCGCCTACAACAGGGCTGGTGGCTGCACCGTGCAGCATCCGGGAATGTCTTTCTGCTCTCTTCTGATGGGAACAGTAATTTGTGTGACATATTCTTTCCCCCCAAATGTCTCTGTGTGTAGCTCAGAGTCATTTGATATTTCAGAACACAGGGAAATCTAAGCTCATCCCAAAGTATCACAGATTTGTAGGTAATGCATGTCTTTTGTTTTTTTCCTGGCCGGCTGGCAGGAAGATTTTCCCCTCTCTATGTGGAAGAAGCGACTGAAGGCCTCCTGCCTGCCCCCGGCACCAGATTCCCCAAGGCCTGCACCAGCCCCTTCTGACTTCTGGTTGCACTTCTGGTCATTTGTGATTCTCCACATTAAATCACCTGGATTTGCCCTGTGTGGTCTCCCTGTCTCCTGATTGGACCCAGACTGAAACAACTTCTTCGTGACTTTTTGCTCATATTTTTAAATTGTGGTTAAATGTACGTAACATGAAATTTACCATTTTCACCCTTTTTGAGGGTACAATTCTGTGGCACTGGGTATATTCACAATGCGACACAACCATCCCCACCATCCGTCTACAGAGCTCTTTTCATCCCACACCCCTGGCACCCACCATCCCACTGTCTGTCTCTAGGAATTTGTATATTCTAGGGACCTCATATAAATGGAATTGCACAGTATTTGTCCTTTTGTGTCTTATTTCACTAGGTATAATGTCTGCAAGGTTCACCCGTGTTGTAGCACGTGTCAGACCTTCCGTCCTGTTTAGGTTGGATAATATTTCATTGTTTATGTATACCACATTTTGTTTATCCGCTTACCCTTCGATGCGTGCGCTGTTTCCACCTCTTGGCTATTGTCAATAGTGCTGCTATGAACATGGGAGGGCAAATATCTGTCTGAATCCCTGCTTTTAATTTCTTTAAGTATGTACCAAAGGAACATACCTAGAAGTAGAATTGCTCGTTCCTGTGGTGGTTCTCGGTTTAATTTTTTAAGGAACTCTCATCATGTTTTCCACAGCACCTGCATCATTTAGCACTCCCACCAACCCACGCTCAGGTTCTAAATGTGTCCATGTCCTCACCAACACTTATTACATTCTGTTTTTTGATAGTAGCCATCCTAACGGTGAGAACTGGTAACTCACTGTAGTTTTGATTGTCATTTCCCTAATGGCTAATGATAGAGAACTGGTAACTCACTGTAGTTTTGATTGTCATTTTGCTAATGGCTAATGATAGAGCACTGGTAACTCACTGTAGTTTTGATTGTCATTTTCCTAATGGCTAATGATAGAGCACTGGTAACTCACTGTAGTTTTGATTGTCATTTCCCTAATGGCTAATGATAGAGAACTGGTAACTCACTGTAGTTTTGATTGTCATTTTCCTAATGGCTAATGATAGAGAACTGGTAACTCACTGTAGTTTTGATTGTCATTTTCCTAATGGCTAATGATAGAGAACTGGTAACTCACTGTAGTTTTGATTGTCATTTTCCTAATGGCTAATGATAGAGCACTGGTAACTCACTGTAGTTTTGATTGTCATTTCGCTAATGGCTAATGATAGAGCACTGGTAACTCACTGTAGTTTTGATTGTCATTTCGCTAATGGCTAATGATAGAGAACTGGTAACTCACTGTAGTTTTGATTGTCATTTCTCTAATGGCTAATGATAGAGAACTGGTAAGTCACTGTAGTTTTGATTGTCATTTCCCTAATGGCTAATGATAAAGAACTGGTAACTCACTGTAGTTTTGATTGTCATTTCCCTAATGGCTAATGATAGAGAACTGGTAACTCACTGTAGTTTTGATTGCATTTCCCTAATGGCTAATGATATAAAGATTTTTTCCATGGCTTCTTGGTCACCTGTTCATCATCTTTGGAGATACGGCTATTCAAGTCCTTTGCCAGTTTTTGAATTGGGTTGTTTGTTTTGTTGTTGAGTTATAGTTCTCTACATATTCTGGATGTTAATCCCTTATCAGGTACATGATTTGCAAATATTTTCTCCCATTCTGTGGTTTACCTTTTCACTCTCTTGATAGTGTCCTTTGAGGCACAAAAGTTTTAAAATTTGAGTAAGTTGTATTTATTTTTGCCTGTGTTTATGGTGTCATATCTGAGAAATCATTGACAAATCCAAAGATTTCTCCCTATGTTTTAAGGGTTTTATAGTTTCCCCTCTTACATTTAGGTCTTTTGTCCATTTTTACTTAGTTTTCGTATGTGATTTAAGATCAAAGCTCCAACTTTATTCTCCGCCTATGGATATCCAGTTTTCTCAGCACCTTCTGTTGAAAAGACTGTCCTTTCTTTCCCCATTGAGTGGTCTAGACACCCTTGTCGGTCACTTGTATATCATGGCGAAAATCATTTGACCATATATGCAAGGGTTTACTCCTGTACTCTCTATTCTATTCCATTGGTTTGTCTAAATGTCTGTCTCTATGCCATTACCACACTGTTTTGATTAGATCATCTTGTAGTAAGTTTTGAAATTAGAAAGTGTGACTCCTCCAATTTTGTTATTCTTTTTCAATATTATTTTGACTATCTGAGGTCCCATGAGATTCCATATGAATTTTAGGAGGGGCTTTTCTATTTCTACAAAACATGTTGAGATTTTGATAAGGATTGCATTGACCCTGTAGATCATTTTGGGTGGTACTGTCATCATAACACTATGAAGTCTTTCAATCCATGAACATGGGCAGTCTTTTCACTTATTTATGTCTTCTTTAATTTATTTCAGCAATGTTTTGTTGTTTTCAAAGTACAAGTCTTTCACTTCCTTGGTTACGTTTATTCCTAAGTATTTTATTCTTTCTTACACTGTTGAAAATGGAATTGCTTTCTTAATTTCATTTGTGGATTGTTCATTGTTAGTTTATAGGAATTGTCATGATTTTTTAAAGCTCTAAAAATGTAATCATAATATTCATACAGAAAAGTGCTTAATGTATGAATGTACCACTCAATTATCACCAAATGAAATCCATGTAACCCCCTCCGACTCAATAAATAGATGATTACCATCTGATGCCACCTCCTGGCACCTCTGTGCTCCCCAAAGGTAACTACTTTTGTACTTTCTAACTCCATGAGTTTGTTCAGCCTGTTTTCACACTTAATATAGAGGAACCCTGCGTGAGTAACTTTTTGTGTCTGAACACTTTTGCTCAATCAACATTGTGTCTAGGAAGCACATTCATTTTGTCATGTGTAGCAGTAAATTGCCCATTCTCATTTGTAGAATGTTTCATTGTGTGGATATACCACAAATAAGTTTTCCCCGTGCTGTTAGTAGGCATTTGGGTATTTTCTCATTTGATGCTATTCCAGGTAGCAGAGCTGGGAGCATTCTTGCACGTGTCTTTTTGTGAATGATGTGTATGTTTCTGTTTCGAGGTGCCCCTAGGAGTAGGGTTGCTGAGTCAAAGGGAGTTCTTGTGCTTGGCTTTTGTAGATGCTGCCAGAGAGTTTCCTAACGTGCTTGCACCAACGTACATGACACCAGCAGGGATGGGAGTTCTGATTGCTCCTTAGTAGTGGCTGGAGCTGGCTCACAGGGGCTTGCAAGAGCCAACCATGCCAATCTCTTCCAACTCCACACGAGCAACAAGACTGGTAACTGGAAATCAACCACAGCAGGAGTATTTGCACCATGGAAATCAGCCCGCGCTGCAGATCAGGTGAGTGCTTGTTAGGCGCTTACCAGCACATTCCTGCTCCACTTCTTTGCCAACCCTTGAGGCTTTCAGTCTTCTTCATTCTGGCCACCCTGGTAGATGCGTGGCGGCATCTCATTTTGGTTTTATTTTGCCACCCCTGCTTCCTAATGACGTTGAGCACCTTTTTGCATGCTGCTTGGTCCCTAGGTGCCGTGTTTTGTGAAGTGCCTGTTTGAGTCTTTTGCTAGTTTTTGACATTGCGTTGACTTTTTCTTATACGTCTGTAGCAGTTTTTTATGTTGTGATTATACAAGCCCTTGGATGATGGCCTGTGGTGATTTTGATGAGCAAAAGCTCTGCTTTTCTAAATTTTTTATAGTTGGCACTTCATGTGTACTATTTAACATCCCCCATCCCGAAGCCATGAAGATTTTTTTTTTCTGCAGGGTCAAATTTTGCTGCATCCATATGGGTAGCAGCTAACCCAGAATATCTATTGATTATATCCTCCTAAAATATAACAGTTCTGAGTATTTTGTTACTAATTTCACACAAAGAATCCATCCAATCTCAGCATTTTCCTCCTTTCCTGGGGGTAAGAGTACATCATCTTTTAGCATTGTTAAATCATTTCAGACGTCTAGGTAAGTTGCAAAAATAGTGCAAAGAATTCTCACACATCCTTCACCGGATTCCGCAAATGCTGGCCTTCAGCACCCTTGCTGTCTCCTACGCTCCCCCTCCTCCTCTATCTACATCGTTTTTTATCATTTATAAGTAGGCTGCAGACATGATGTCCCTCTAAGTGCAATGCACACTTCCTAAAAGCAAGGACATTCTCTTATGTAACTGTAGTACAAACATCAAAATAAGGAAATTAACGTTAATAAAATATGATCTAAGCTACAACATTCAAATGTTGTCACCTGTTCTACTGTGTCCCTTTTTTTAATCATCCAGCCCAAAATGTCGTCCTGTGCTCTTTACATACGTGAGTCTATCCACACACGCACACGCGTCCCAGCTCTGACCACTGACGGGCTGGAAGCAATAACACCCTGATGACAGTCGGCACATGGGCCACTCAGATACCAGATCCTAAATACCTCCCAAGTCGTATTTAGAGAAACAGCCGAGCCCAGGGCTGGGGCAGAGAATCAGAGTAAAACCAGCACTGAGGGTGAGAATCCCACAGTGACCCTCCCTGGCAGTAAGCCGGGCCAGCTCATGGTTGAGTCCAAATCTTAGCTTTTCTTTTTGAGACAGGGTCTTACTCTGTCACCCAGGCTGCAGTGTAGTGATGTGATCGCAGCTCACTGCAGCCTCCAACTCCCGGGCTCGAGTGATTCTCCCACCTCAGCCTCCCGAGTAGTTGAGTAGCGTGCACCACCACGCCCAGCTCATTTTTGTATTTTTTGTAGAGGTGAAGTTTTGCTATGTTGCCCAGGCTTATCTCGAACTCCTGGGCTCAAGTGATCCTCCCACCTCAGCCTCCCACAGTGCTGAGATTATAGGTGTGAGCCACCACGCCCTGCCAGCTTAGCTTTTTTTAACTCAAATTTTAAGTTTTTAATTTTGAAATATTTGATGTTTACAAAAGATTGTAAATTGCAATAAAAAGTTTGAAAGCACTTGAGCCCAATAGTTTGAGGCTGCAGTGAGCTATGATCGCACCACTGCACTGCAGCCTGGGTGACAGAGTGAGATCCCGCCTCAAAAAAAAAAAAGCGAGAAAGGCCCTGCTCAGGTGTAGGTTCCTGGGTCCTCTGGGTTCACGCTGCCCACTTCCCACACTCAACCAAATTGTCCCAAGTCGCTGGTCTGGCTCATCCCCTGGTGCTGGGGCTGGGGCTCTGGGGCCACACGCATGCACACACACTGCCGCCAGCTTCCGTGTTGTTCGTTGCTGCTTGGTGGGTGCAGCGATCCCCCCTGACCCTGGTGCCAGCCAGGGAGAGCCTCTTCCCTCACACCCACTGACACTCACCGCGCAAAGTGCCTGTGTGTGCCTGTGTGCGCCTGTGTGTGCCTTTGCTGGTTTTCATACTGAGTTGTCTGTCTTGATCTGATTAATTCTAGGAACGCTTTTTTTTTGTTCGTTTGTTTTTTGAGACGGAGTTTTGCTCTGTCGCCCAGGCTGGAGTGCAGTGGGGTGATCTCAGCTCACCGCGACCTCCACCTCCCGACCTCAAGCGATTCTCCTGCCTCAGGCTCCCAAGTAGCTGGGATTACAGGTGCCCGCCACCAAACCCAGCTAATTTTTATATTTTTAGTAGAGACAGGGTTTCACCATCTTGGCCAGGCTGGTCTCCAACTCCTGACCTCAAGTGATCCATCCACCTCAGCCTCCCAAAGTGCTGGGATTACAGGCGTGAGCCACCGCGCCTGGCTGATTCTAGGAATTCTTTCTGGATACTAGTACTTTGCTTCTGTGCACAGAAAATATCCTCTCAGGCGTGTGGAGGTCCCCTCTCTTGTGTCATTTTGGAGGTCCCCTCTCTTGGTGTGTCATTTTGGAGGTCCCCTCTGTTGGTGTGTCATTTTGGAGGTCCCCTCTGTTGGTGTGTCATTTTGGAGGTCCCCTCTCTTGGGGTGTCATTTTGGAGGTCCCCTCTCTTGGTGTGTCATTTTGGAGGTCCCCTCTCTTGGTGTGTCATTTTGGAGGTCCCCTCTCTTGGGGTGTCATTTTGGAGGTCCCCTCTCTTGGGGTATCATTTGACAAAGAGAAGTTCTGGGGTTTGACACAGCTTCTCTTCAGGGCCCTCCCTTGGTCAGTGCTTACTAAGGTCACAGAGATGAGTGCCCGTATTTTCTCCTGTAATCTGCCTGAAGATGCCTCGTGTGGACAGCAGGGAGCTCTGGTCTATGGCACGTAGCATGGAGTTGGCAGCAAGTAGCAGAAAACCCCTATTGACAGCTGCTTAGGTGAGGTCGGGTTTAAGAAATAAATCAGAAGGCTGTATTTAAGAAATAATTGTATTTCTCCCTGGTGTTAAAACCAACAGACGCAGCTGCTGTGTGTCAGGGACAGCTCTGAGGAGACCTGGACACACCTCCCTCCCTGCCCACAGGCAGGACATCGGCTCCCACAGGGAGGCTGGAGGCTGGAGGCGAGGCCCCCAAGGATAGGCTCGGCCTGGGTGAAAGTCCATTTTCTCTGGAATGAGTGGGGACTGGGTGTTAGGAGTCACCTGTCCTTGTGGGGACACACTTCTCCCAGCAGGAAGGGGACAGTCGGTCATTTCCCCGCCCTGGGCAGCAGGAGGAGGCTGCACCTACCGGGGCCCAGGCCTAGAGCATCAGGGACCCCCCGCTCTGTCCCCCATCAGCAGCAGAGGCCCTGCCTGCGTCCCTGTCCTGGCAGCTGTGTGTGTGTCTGGGCCAGACGCCCCTCGGCCCTGCTCCACTCTGCTGACTCTCCTCACCGAGATGCAGGGATCAGAGGGTGACCGGAGAAAGGGAGGCAGACGGAGGGGCCTGGGGTGGGCAATGTCTCCCAAGAGGGAGGACAGATTTGCCTTCAGACACAGAAGCAGCAGCAGAGTCTCTGCTGGTGGGGGCAGCTGAAGGCCGGGCAGGGTGTGGGCTATGAGGGAGGAGCAGGGCCGAGGGCTGGTGGGCCAGGAGGACAGGGTTGCCCCCCAGCAGGTTGGCGCAGGCCATACCTCTCTGAATCTGGCCTTCGTGTGAGCTTAGCGGTGGGGGTCCAGGCACCCAGGCAGCCAGCTGGGCACAGGGGAGGCCTGTGTGGGCTCTAAGGAAGCCACTTGTCCCGGTGACCCCAGGGCTCAGGCCTTCCACCTGTCCTGCCTTCCCCACCAGCATCTGTAGGTAGGGGCGCCCAACCCTGTCCGCCAGCCCTGACTCCAGCCGGCAGCCTGGCTCCGCACCTGCATCGAATCTGCAGGGGTCCTGGACGCCCCCCCACCCACCCAGGTCCAGCCTGCCAGGAAATCCAGGCAGAACCTGCCGTGGGGGGACCCCTTCCCAGGCACCGGCCGTGGACCCCCATCTCTGTTGGGTCCGGAGCCTCCTGCCCACCCCGATGTGTCCCCAGCAGCCTCCAGGGACCCCCATTAGCAATTCACAGCCTCAAAACACCAGCCCCAGGGAATGGCTGGGCCAAAACGGGGTGAGTGAGACAGAGGACGCGCTCAGAGGACAGTCAGTGGGACTCGGGGACAGCTGACACGGCCACGGCGACCCAGGAATCACACCTCACAGACACGCACCCACGAGTGAAACCGGAGCCACGTGCCCACACAGACGCAGGGGGTGGTAAACTGTCCCCCGCTGCTAAACACCCCCTAGTCACCAAGGGGTCCTGCCTCTCGGCAAAGCCGGTCAGAAAGACCCACGCCAAGGGGCGGACCCCAGCGGGAAGTCTGGGTGGTGGGGTCCTGCCCCTAACTCCGTGAGAGACGAGCCCTGAGCCCTGGGTGGTCCATAGTGAGCCACAGTGGCCAAGGGGCTTGGGTCTGTGGGCGCCACGGGGAGCCTGCCAGGAACATCAGTTCACGGGGGTCTCTTTCGAGTGCCCGTCGGCGGCTGAGCGTGGCAAGCTAAATCCACCTGGACGCGAACACAGTGCGCGGCCTCCTCATCCTGGGGGTTTTCTGGGCCTGGGTGGGGCAGGCAGGGAGGGTCTCGGGCGCATCTCACATCACAGGGGCTGGTGGCTCAGAGGCCTCGGGACAGCTGCTCTGCCCGGGGGCTCTGGGTACTCAGAGGCCAGTCAGCTGCCCACGCCTCAGGCCGCGTTCCAGCCCGAAGCCCCTCATCTTCCCACTCAAATGTGTGCTCTTAATTGCAATCAATGCTCAGAAAAGCAATTAGCCCCCGACTGGCCACGCTGGTCATCTCTGATGGCAAGAAGGACTGCAGAGGGTCACGCCGATGCGGTGAAGGGGCCGGCAGGGGGCTGTGGGGACAGAGATCCATCAGCCTTCCCACAATTAACGCCGAATCGCCACCCTCACCTCCTAAATTACACCGGCGGCCGCAGCCAGCCCGGACCAGCGTAAATCACGTTCTGACTGCCGCGCGTCAGGGCAGAGGCTCTCCCGCTGAGAGCAGTGTTACTGTCTCCTAAATCCCAAAGCCATGATTGATGCCACCTGCTCCACACGTGCTGAGGCCACCATCTGCTTACAGGGAAACATAAACTTTGAATAAGCAGGTCCTGCTGATTTTAACTGGACTAATTTATTGCTCACAAGCGGAGGACCTGAGTTCGCAGCAAATTTCTCCAGCCACCCGGGAGCCCGCAGCCCGGCCCTCGCGTCTGCGATGGGAGCTCGATAAGGTCACCGTCAACAGCATCCACACGGCGCCACGCCAGCCGCCAGCCCCCAAAAGCACCAGGGAAAAGAGCCCCGGAGAAGCACCTCCCGTGGGGGGATTTATTTCTGAATTAAACACTCCCAGCCCCAACGGAAGCCTATTCTTTTTCACAATCAGCTTTCTTCCCAGTTGTAAACACTCTTTCTAAAACTTGTGCATGATTTTAATTACAGATAAGTTTCTCTTTAAAGGCCGGGCATTCATGCCTGGGTTGCTAAGCTGAATTCGATACATCTCTACGTCCGGTGAGGCACAGGCCAGGCTTGGGCCGTGCTCCTGGCTGGGCCCAGGCAGCTCCTGGGTTGGGGCACTCCTTGCCACAGAGGCACTGGAGGGCCCCACCAGCTCCTTCCACCCTGTTGCCCCGGGACGTTGGGGACCCAGGAAAAGTCCTCTGTCCAGCTTCATGCCCCACGAGGACATAGCCCAAGACAGCAAGCCGAGCAGTGTGCGGCTGAGACCCACCAGGACGCACCCCTCAGCCCACACCGACCAGAGTGCACCCCTGTGGCCATGGCAGTCCTGGGTGGGAGTGTGTCTGCGGAGTGTGTCTGTGCTTCTGCAGGAGGGGAGGCTGTGGGTGGCTGGTGCACAACAAGGGCAAACAGGAGCCAAAGCCACTGGAGCTCGTCCTAGAGCCAGCTCTGGGCTCTCTCCTCCAAGAAGCCTCCCCTGACCTGCCTTTCCCCAGCCCTTCCTGGGTGTCACCGCTGCCTGTGGCTGCTGGGCCTACGCCCTCCCCCCGCCCATACCAAGAGCTTCTGGAAGCTGGGAGAGCCTCTCACATCATCCAGGTCCCCAGTCCCAGCACATAGCTCTGCAAAGCCACTCCCCTCACCCCCCAACAATTGAGAAAAGGCCCAGGACAGCCACACTGTTTCCCCTGGTTGGGGGTCCTCGGAACCACAGCCAAAGACAGACTATTCTCCTTGCACTGTTCAGCACCCATGACACCACTGAGTCGAGAACCCCAGGGTACTGGGAGGGCCCCTAGAACCTCCTCCAGGGAGCACCAGCACCTGCCTCGCTGGACTGAAAGGAGGAGACCCGGGTTTCACCCACCTTCCCAGGCCGGAACACACTCACCTTTTCTGGAAATGCAAGAGACACACTCAACCAGTGTGACACAAGAGGCGTGAGCTGGAGACAAGGGACACAGCCGTCTGCCACACCAGACGGGGAAGGGAAGCTCCCCCTTGGGCCCATCCCCACAGTACTGGACAGGTGGAGCTCAGGCAGTGTGTGTGCGTGCACGTGTGTGTGTGCGTGTGTGTGCGTGCATGTGCCGGCGTGTGTGTGTGCGTGTGTGTGTGCGTGTGTGCGCACACACCATGTGAACATGCAAGTGGGTCATGCGTGTGACTGTGTGCATGTGTGTCTGAGCGCATGGTCAGGTGCATGTGTGTCCGTGTACATGTGTGCACGTGTGTGTGCTGGTGTGTGTGTGCACTTGTGCGTGTGCGTGTGTGTGCGTGCGTGTGCACGTGTGCGTGTACGTGTGTGCGCGTGTGTGTGTGTGCATGTGCCGGCGTGTGTGTGTGTGTGTGTGTGTGCTCAGAGAAGTCACCTGGAGCCGAGGAGATCCCAGGAGGCTGAGGCTGCCCCACAGGCACGGTAGGCTTTGCCGTGGGTGTTCAGCTTCCTGGGTTTGAAGGAATGTCCTTCTATCCATAGAAAAAGAAGGAAAACAAAAGCTGGGCTACAAATTCTTTCTTTTTTTTTTTTAATTATTATACTTTAAGTTTTAGGGTACATGTGCACAATGTGCAGGTTAGTTACATATGTATACATGTGCCATGCTGGTGCGCTGCACCCACTAACTTGTCATCTAGCATTAGGTGTATCTCCCAGTTCTCAAACGGAGGCCCCAGGCCAGGCCAAGCCTCGTCTCCGGAGGTATCTGCAGCCTCTAGCGTCCATGTGATTTTTCAGTGGTTAATGAAACTGCCAAGGCCCGGCTATGTTGCACGACTTCGCCATCATAACTTTAAATCCCATTATGATCACCTCATTTTACAACATGCTTTGGCCCTGGGATCAATATATCAAGAGGGCCCAGCGCCGGTTACGATCCAGACAAGATTCTGAAGTGGGGCTGCTGCCAGCAGGGCCCGGCCTCTCCTGCCCCTCGGGTCACGCCTGCCCAGAGCGGGGGCTCCCCAGGGCGCAGCAGAATCCGGGAAAGGGGCAAAAGAGGGGAAGCCATGAGGGAGGTAGTGAGGGGCAGGAGAGCCCGGCAGCCTCCACCCCGCGCCCCCATGGCTCCCCCAGAGTGTTACAGCAAGCAGGCGCCCGAGAGCCCGGTGCAGCTCCAAGTTGCTCGAATGGGGACCAGCGCAGACCTCGGCTCCAGGGTGGCCCCGGCACTCCGTCCTCTTACTTGACAGGACCCCCAGCCTCCTGCACACTCCCGGGGTGAGGCAGCCCCACATGGGTGCTGGGCTGCAGGGACCCAGGTCTTGCCTTTGCAGATGGGAGACGCGGCCAGCACACAGGCAGGTGCTATGGGGTGGCAGCGGGCGGGGGGGGCGGTGGTGACGGCATCCCTCGCTCTCACTAAGGCCCTTTCCATGGGGTCGTGTCCCAGAACCCCCTAGGGGCGCACAGCAGAGCCAAATGGAGAAGCAAAGACACAGATTAGCTTTCGCTGAAACAGGATGACAATGGCATTTTCTCCCGTTTCTGAAGCTGGACCTCATCAGTGGGCAGAGATACCTGCAGTCAAGGCCTCTGGGGCAGACACCCCGGTGCCTCCCGACCCCTACATCCCACAGGTGGCTGCCACAGCCGGGCAGCCCACCCCACCCAGCCAGAGGAACCGCGGGGACCCAGGGGCCTGCCTGGAAAATCAATCAGCATGTTGGCCCCGCCAATTTCCAGGAGCATGAAACCATTTTTTGCCCAGCAGGGTGCTAATGTCCAATGCGGCCGAAAGCAGAAAGAGGCCACATCAAGACCGGCAGGGATCCTCACACTCCCCAAACAGCCCAGGACCCCAGACCCATCCCTGCAGCCTTCCTGTTACATCTTGCTTGGGAGGGCGGCAACGAAAGGCACAAGGCACATGCGCGGACACACACAGGCTCACAGCGATGCCTCGCACCCACGCTCACGCACACGCCGCACATACACACACACAGGCCCATGGCGACGCCTCGCACCCACGCTCACGCACACGCCACACACACACACACAGGCCCACGGCTCCCTCACACCCACGCTCATGCACACGCCACGTACACGCAGGCCCACGGCTCCCTCGCACCCACGCTGAGAGGCTGCTGTGGTTAGGGTTCGGTCGGAGGGGTCCAAGCCCATTGATGCCCCCACTCCACACCCAGGTCCTACATCCAGCCCGGGTCCCCAGTATCTGTTTGGCTCCCCGTCCGCTCCTGAGGCTCACGTGGGGTCTGCAGTCTTTTGTGAGGCCCAGACCAGCCCAACCCAGCATAGCAAGGACCTGAGCCTTCCCTTCACAGATGGGGCGGTGGAGGGCCAGGGTCACAGCAGGGTGGGGCTGCCTCCTGGGCCACACTGGGCTGAGACACTGGGTGCAGACCCCTGGGTAGGGGGTCGGCAGTCTCTGACGGGACAGTGGGACCCTTTGAGCCAAGGGCGGCGGCGCCAGGGCCCACCCACTGCCTTGTGCCACAGGGAAGCAGCATCTAGAACCAGGGGCCCCAGGTAGCATCAGGCCCGCTGTGTGCCTATGGCTGGTGAGGAGGAGCCACTGGTCCTCAGAGGCAGTGAAGGGGCAGGAGGCAAGCTTTGTGCTGGGACATGCAAGTCCAGCAGCTGGGAGAGTCCAGGTGTGGCAGGGGCAGCCCCGGAGCAGACAGGAGAGGCCTGGGCAGAGGAACGGCTGTCCTGCTGCTGGGGGCAGGTCCATGCTGGGGCAGGGGAAAGGCCAGGGCACCTTGAGACTCAGAGAGCCTCTTGGGGTTGCTGAGCCCCCTCCAGCCCAGCGTGCCTTGGGGGGTGCCTGATCCCTCAGCCATGCCCCTGACCCCCACCCCTGGCAGTCCTCCTGGGTCCTGGGAGGTGCTCATTGGTGCTATACCTGTGACCTGGGACTGGTTGGATGACAAGGTCGAGTGGGAAGGGCTGGGGATGGGGCTGGGTCCACCCCTGTAGCCCTTGGCCCCTGGCCTCCGCTCTGAGGTTGGAGTGGATCCAAGAGTCGTCTGACCCAGAAGCCCCAGAAACACCCAGCCTCCCCTCCCCCCAGCCTCACCAGTGCCGGGAAAGGAGGGGCTGCTGACCGGGACCCACGGACACGCGGAAGTGCTAACAGGTGCCCGGGCTAGAGGGAGGGTTCCAGCAGTGGGAGGGCAGTGGTGGGAGGGGAGAGGTGGGAGGGGAGGGGTGGGAGGGCAGAGGTGGGGGGAGGGGTGGGAGGGCAGGGGTGGGAGGGCAGAGGTGAGGGGAGGAGTGGGAGGGTAGAGGTGGGAGGGCAGGGGTCGGGGGGCAGAGGTGGGAGGGCAGGGGTGGGAGGAGAGGGGTGGGAGGGCAGAGGTGGGAGGGTGCAGGAACATCCCCCTTGCATTCCGGGACCAAACCGAGGGTCAGGCTGCTATTTCTCGTGGCCCAATAACGAGATGCAGATGAACTGGGGAGGAAGAGAGGTTTTATTTCTGCAACTGGTTACAAGGAGAAGGCTGGGAAATTATCACCAGACCAACTCAAAATTACAGTTTTCCAGAGCTTATCTACCTTCTAAGCTCTATGTCTACGTGTAAGTGTGCATTCATCTCAAGACGTAAGTGATGAACTTCTCTTCATCTATAACGAAGGTCTGAGTCCTGAAGACCTTCCTCTGGAGCCTCAGCAAGTTTAAGTTTACTTAATCTAAATGGGTCCAGGTGCTGAGGTGATTGCCCTTATCTTGTCTCCTGCTAAATCACGGAGGTTTGGGGAGTTCCTTCAGACCCACAGTAAAACTTATTTAATCCTAAATGGGTCCTGTGAAGAATTCCTTCATCGTCTTGTCGCTTTAAGGCCCAGGCAAAACTCTGGGCCTGGGCAAGAGTTTTGGGCCAGGCAAAACAAAAGGCCTGGGCAAAACTCTGGGTGGGCTTTTGTTACACTCCAGCGTTTGTATCAGGGCACTGGCTTTTAATATTTAACTTCACTGCACAGTCAGTGCTGAAACAGGTGTTGTGGAGGCCTGCGTTAGTGAGACCTGGCCTGCCGCACTTGGAGTCCTAGCGTAGCTCCCAAAGTCAGGGAGGGACGGGACCCACAGACATGTGGCCGCAGGGAGAGGCCCCATGGGGCGTGAGGCCTGGTGACCCCACACGGCCCGGGGACCAGGACAGCTGCAGCCTGACCTGGAGAGGTGCCAGTCCCAGGAGGCCCCGGCACTGGGTGGGAGCACAGCCCCAGGCCCCACCTTGGCTCCCAGGGGCCTGGAGCCCCCCCAGCTGCCGTCTTCAGTGATTTGGAAGTGTAGAAAATGGGATTATCCAGGAACAGATGTGCACAGAGTGGGTGAAATGGAAAGCCTGCCCGCTGCGCCTGCCTTTGATTACCTCTGACGGCCACGCTGTCCACGCCCCCCCAGCACCCAGCTAAATTCAGCCCCAGCCCCGCCAGCCAGCGCCTCATTGAAATTGAATTGATACTTTGTGAACTTCATTTGTGAATAATGTGATCTGACAGGGACAAATGTGACGGGGAATTGTTTTCAAACCTCCTCCAAATGGAACTTATTATTGGGTAAATACAGATTCCTTTGTCTCCTTCCACCCTGGCGTCCTCGGGCCTGAATATGTATCAACCCCGGAGGTAACTGAATTGATGATGCAGAGGGTGGGGGCCAGGGTGGGGACCCTCCCCAGACTGCAGGTCCTCAGCGGGCGGCAGCCGTGGTGGCCCTAGGAGGCCACCCTGCCCGAGCACCCGCTTGGCCCTGCGGCCGCCGTCAGGCCTCAGATGTCTTACATATTAATTTCCCGCTGCAGAACATTTGCCGAGCGCAGCTCAAACCCAGTTAGCTGGATTGATGAAGGTGGCAAAAGGATACGACACACGCTGATTCCACCTTTTCAGCTTCGATTAGCTCCGGCCGGGAGTCTGTCCCCGTCAGAGCTCCATCACGCGGCCGGCGGAGAACTGGGGAGGGACCGGCCGCAACAGTGCCCAGGAAGGCTTCAGTGCCAGGCCATTATCCTAACAGGCCGCCCCCCAGAGAGCCAGGTGGGGCCCGGGGCATGGCAGAGGCAGCCCGAGAGCCTCAGACGCCCATCTGCGATGGACAAGCATTTGCCCCCCGTGGTGGCCCGGCTGCAGCCCCTTCCTGTTCCTGCCTTCCGTGTCCACAGGCCTGGGGAAGCCAGGCCCCGGCGTGCCCTGTGGACACGTCCCACAAGACCCCAGGGACTCCCTCTCCCTGCCAGGACACGTCCTTGGCTCAGGCTTAGGCTCGGGTGGGCCGGGGGTCCCGGCTCCCCAACTTTCTGCCGTGCAACATTGACATTGGGGTCATAAAAAGCACCTGTGTCTGCCCCGCGTGGCTGCAAGTGTCCCCTCGTTTAAGCGCCCAGACGACAGCATGAGGAAGGACAATGACCTGCCCTTTACAGACGAGGAAACTCGGTCCTGTGTGGGCGGGGGCCGCAGGCTGGTGGAGAGGACACACACGGCACCCTGCCTTCTCCTCATCAGCATCTCCGCGAGTGCAGCAGCCGAGGACAGAGAAGGACTCGGAAACCTCTGCCCTCAGCCGCACACCCCGGAGTGAAGGTCCCTGGAGCAAGTGAGGAGGAGAAAGCGGATGTGACTCAGGAAGACACTGCCGGGCCCCGGCCCCACCCCGGGCCCTGGAAGCCCCGTCTGTTCCGACAGCCCTGAAAAGACCACTGATTTCAGGCCCTTCCTGACGGGTTCTGGTGAGGACGGCGGCTCTAAGTCGGCCTCGTGGAGTCAGCATCTGTGTTCTCAGAAATGCTGCAGGTCCATCCCCAGGGACACTGGAGGTCTCTAGGCTTGTGCTTCGGAGGCCAGGGACTCCCGACTCAGCTCGTGGCTCAGGGACTCTGATTGTGCTGTTCCAGCTCACATCCCACACGTCTCCCTCAGCCCCCAGGAGGAGAGAGCAGCAGACAGAGCAGGGGCCACACCAGGCACCACCGCCTTCCACCTGCTCCGGACCCCAAGTGGGTACAGGCACAGGCAGAGTCAAGGAGGCAGCCCAGGCCTGCCCAGCTCGGGGCCCTTTTCCCTGGTGAGATGCCCTGAGACCAGGACACACCCCAGGCTGCCCGCCTTGGCCCACACCTCCGGCAAATCCACGGGCTCCATACGAGGTTCTGTAGCCTCCGGCCCATGCCTCCCTGCAAATCTGCAGGCCCCAGACAAGGTTCTGCAGCCTCCAGAGGACCCTGGAGGATCCCTCCCTCCATCACCTCACTTCCTCCTGGCCCCACTGACGTGGTCACTGTACCTTTTTATTTTAGTTTTTACTGGAAGCAAAATTCACATAACCTAAAATTAGCCATCTTACACGGCACATGTCTGTGTACTCGGATGTTTGCAATGGCACCCACCCAACTCCAGCGGTGCCATCCCAGGTTCTCATCCTCACCGCAGTCAGAAACCGCCGCCTTCAGGAGCCCCGCCCCACTCTCCTCCCCAACTGCCTCCCCCACCTCCCCCTGCCTTCAGGGGCCACGCCCCCACCTCCTCCCAGCCCGACACCCCCCATTCTGCTTTCTGTCTGGGAATCTGTCGTTCTGGACAAGTCATTTGGCCTTATTTCAGGGCTGAGCACAGGGTCCCCAGGTTTGTCTACACAGTGGCGTCAGCACATCCTTCCTTTTTAAGGGTTTTCCCTTATGAGTGCGGAATATTCACACTGCATTTTCCCTGTTGTGGACATTCCGCATTCTTCCCGGCGTGGATGCTCCGCACCCTCCCCCGGCGTGGACGCTCCCCATTTTTCCTGGTGTGGACACTCCGCATTCTTCCCGGCATGGACACTCTGCACCCTCCCCTGGCGTGGACACTGCGCATCCTCCCCAGTGTGGACACTCCCCATTTTTCCTGGTGTGGACGCTCCGCCTTCTTACTCATTCCTCTGGGCAGGGGTGCTGTTCGCCTCCCCTGCCTGGACGTTGTGAGTGGGCTGCATGAACAGGCAGTCGGGCACCATCTTCCTTTCTTCTCAGGGCCCTTTGGGAACCGTGCAGACACCCCGGCTATGGCTGAGTGGGGCTGCCTGGTGGCAGGAGCCCCGGGACCAGCTCCGTCCAGCCACACTCCCCCCAGAGTCCCACCGTGAGTCATCTCGAGGGCCCGCCAGGGCCAGAACCTCTAACAGGGATGAGAGCCTCGGTGGTGCCCCTGACTGTCCACTACTGGAGCAGCTGGAGGGTCTGATGTGTGGCCCCCAGGGCCCTGGGGTGACCCGAGGAAGCCCCCGCTCCAACCTCCCAAGCAGGAGCGTCACCCCAGCACAGCACGTTCCAAGGCTGTGGGTTTATCTTACAAACACGGGAACCAATGACTTAGGAAATTGCCAAGATAATAAAGATTTTTACGTGGCTTCACGCTCTGTACTCCGATGCAGTGGGGCTTCCACGGGGAACCCAGGGACAGCCAGGCTTCCCAGAGTGGCACCTTCACTCCGCCTCACCGATGCAGGTGGGGCCACCTCTGTGACTCACAGGAGGAGACATCAACAATGGCCACAAAAATGGACCTTTTGTCCCACCCAGCTCTGTGGGGGTTGCGAAATCTATCCTGGGCTCTGAGCAGGCCTGACCCACAAGCCTTCCTGACCGGCCATCACCCTGGGGGTCAGATGGGTGCTGCAGGCCCTGGGGTTCAGCCAGATACCGGGCACAGGCCTGGGGGCCAGTCGGGCTAGGACAAGAGTAGGCCTTGGCCCGGGGGGGTAGGGGGACTCCTGGAGTGCCTTAGGGCTTGATTTGGTTTGCTCTTTTGTCCCTGCAGCTTTAGAGGCGGAGGCAGGAATTCAGGAAAAGACGCTGAGCACGCATCACAGCAGCCCCAACCCAGGGAGCCCCTCAGATGGGGAGCCAGGGTGTGAGCCCCAAGACTCCAAGGATCTCGGAGGTTTCATCGGCTGCCGGGCTCGGGACCCCGAGGCCCAGTGCACAAGCCAGGGAGTGGGCAGGCAGGGCACCCGTGAGCCATGGGGTCGGACCTCCGGGCCTGCTGCTGCCCGCTTGCTGTCCTTACACTGCTGCATCCTGGGATTCCCATCTGAGACGACCGCCCAGTGTCCAGGCCACTAGGAACGATGCTGCGGGCCTGAGGTCACTGATGCAACCCCTTCTCTGGCCCTAAACAGAGTTCAGGGCTCACCGCCCTCATCACAAGCATGAAGAAGTGTGAGGACTCAGGATGGTGGGAGGGGCAGCTGGAGACCTGGGGTCCCAAGGGCCAGCTGCAGATGGTGGCATCCTTCTGGCTCTTTCTGCAGAAAGGAGTCTGATAGGTGCTTGCAGGGGCTGGAGGGACCGGTCTGGGCTGCCCTGACCAGACAGGGGCTGCTCCTGCCACTGCCAAGGGTCGCCTCTGCCAGCCCAAGTCTGCCCCTAGAAACAGAGCGAGTCTCTCCAGAAACTCCTGTGGGCAGGGCACGCAGTGAGACCTCCCAGCCCTGCTTGCCCGCTTGGCCAGGCAGTCACTGACATGTTGAGAAGCAGGTGCCCCGCCCCACTTCCCCCAAGAAGAGCTGAGGCAGGCACTGCTGTGTCTCAAGGGGCAGCAGGAGGAAAAGTCCACAGGCAACCTGGGTCCCTCTGTGGGCCCCACATTCCCACTGAGCAAAGCTGGCGGCACTGTGGCCCCCACCATGGACACCCCGCACCCACCCACTGTCCTTCCTGCTACTGAGGCCAGAACTCGGGGCCTGAGACACCCACAGCCAGGGTGTCCAGCAGCCACCACTGGCACGTTAGAGCTGCCAACAGCATGGATGCCTGGACAGGCGAGGACGAGGGTGTGAGCACAGCACACTGGCGTCAGTATGCCCACCCCAATCAGGAAGGAGCATTCCACCAACTCCCGGCCAGCTCCCTGCAGACTGGCCAGGATAATGAAGGACAAGGGAAGCCTGAGGACCCATCCAGGCTGGGGTCCCACAAAGGTGACCCCTCGACGCAGCCTGGGGTCCCGGAGTAGGACCTCAGTGGGAGCCCCGGCAACTCCCATTCTGTGGATGGCGCTGACCCCAGGCCCATCAGCGGACCCTGCTTCGGTGCAGTGCTGTCCTGCGGGAGGTGAGGGAGCTACGGGAACTCTCCATAGTATATTTAAAAGTTTTTTGTAAAATTTACTCAAAATTAAAGTTTTTTTTAATTTGAAAATGCCATTTGTCCTAGGTCAATGTGTGCAGCTCAGGAAGGTGTTGACATCCCAGCCCCCAGCACCTCAGAATGTGACTTGTTTGGAGACAGAGTCTTTACAGAGAAAATCAGGTTAAGGGGCGGTCAGGAGGCCGGGCCTCACCCCAGCACGAGGCGCCCTTATGGAAAGGGGATCTGGAGACAGGCACGCAGGGAGAGGCCGTGCGAAGATGAAGGCCGAGGTCAGGGCGGTGCTTTCTCAGGCCAAGGATCACCGAGGGCTGCTGGCCGCCACGGGGAGCTGGGGAGAGGATGGGACCGGTCCTGCCTCGCAGCCTCGGAGGAGCCGGCCATGCAACCGGATCCTAGACCTCCAGCCTCCAGAACTGCGAGGTGTATGTTGCTGTGGTGACGGTCTCCAGTCTCTGGTACTTTGCAAACTCACCGTGTCTAGGCAGATCTCGCATGTGCTAGGCCCAGCAGTATGAGAATATGACCTGTTTTCATTTCTGCCTGGAAAGGGGACAGCCTGGGCAGGGTGGTAGGTGCTGGGGGCACTCTCCTGCCTTGTCGCCCCCCGCCCTGGGGCTGCGTGGCCCTGATGACTCCCCCTGCGGATGGTTCTCATGGGTGCCCGCTGCCGCCGTGGGCCCCTGCACAGCTGGTGGCCGTGGCATCGCTGGTACAGCGCTGGCAGCTGACACTGATCCCACTCTCGGCCCACACAGAGCCCATGCTGCTCCGCTCCCAGCGGGAACTGCTTCTTCACTGAAGCACCAAGTCCTAGGAATGGTTCCCTGAGGCCACACCTATAATTTTATTGTTGTGTGAATATTCTGTTTGAACGGGAGATTACAATTTTACTTCCTGTTCAGTAAACATCCCCACCGCAGGCCCTACTGAGGGAGTCATTAGCGGCCGTGTGGGGAGTGGCGATTAACAGTGGGTTCAGTGCAGCAGGACAGCCGGACCCCTGCCCCAGGCTCTCAGCAGGACAGCCGGACCCCTGCCCCAGGCTCTCAGCAGGACAGCCGGACCCCTGCCCCAGGCTCTCAGCAGGACAGCCGGACCCCTGCCCCAGGCTCTCAGCAGGACAGCCGGACCCCTGCCCCAGGCTCTCAGCAGGACAGCCGGACCCCTGCCCCAGGCTCTCAGCAGGACAGCCGGACCCCTGCCCCAGGCTCTCAGCAGGACAGCCGGACCCCTGCCCCAGGCTCTCAGCAGGACAGCCGGACCCCTGCCCCAGGCTCTCAGCAGGACAGCCGGACCCCTGCCCCAGGCTCTCAGCAGGACAGCCGGACCCCTGCCCCAGGTACTCAGCAGGACAGCCGGACCCCTGCCCCAGGCTCTCAGCAGGACAGCCGGACCCCTGCCCCAGGCTCTCAGCAGGACAGCCGGACCCCTGCCCCAGGCTCTCAGCAGGACAGCCGGACCCCTGCCCCAGGCTCTCAGCAGGACAGCCGGACCCCTGCCCCAGGTACTCAGCAGGACAGCCAGACCCGCCCCAGGCTCTCAGCAGGACAGCCGGACCCCTGCCCCAGGCTCTCAGCAGGACAGCCGGACCCCTGCCCCAGGTACTCAGCAGGACAGCCGGACCCCTGCCCCAGGCTCTCAGCAGGACAGCCGGACCCCTGCCCCAGGCTCTCAGCAGGACAGCCGGACCCCTGCCCCAGGCTCTCAGCAGGACAGCCGGACCCCTGCCCCAGGTACTCAGCAGGACAGCCGGACCCCTGCCCCAGGCTCTCAGCAGGACAGCCGGACCCCTGCCCCAGGCTCTCAGCAGGACAGCCGGACCCCTGCCCCAGGCTCTCAGCAGGACAGCCGGACCCCTGCCCCAGGCTCTCAGCAGGACAGCCGGACCCCTGCCCCAGGCTCTCAGCAGGACAGCCGGACCCCTGCCCCAGGCTCTCAGCAGGACAGCCGGACCCCTTGCCCCAGGCTCTCAGCAGGACAGCCGGACCCCTGCCCCAGGTACTCAGCAGGACAGCCGGACCCCTACCCCAGGTACTCAGCAGGACAGCCGGACCCCTTGCCCCAGGCTCTCAGCAGGACAGCCGGACCCCTGCCCCAGGTACTCAGCAGGACAGCCGGACCCCTGCCCCAGGCTCTCAGCAGGACAGCCAGACCCCTGCCCCAGGCTCTCAGCAGGACAGCCGGACCCCTGCCCCAGGCTCTCAGCTGGACAGCCGGACCCCCTGCCCCAGGCTCTCAGCAGGACAGCCGGACCCCTGCCCCAGGTACTCAGCAGGACAGCCGGACCCCTGCCCCAGGCTCTCAGCAGGACAGCCGGACCCCTGCCCCAGGCTCTCAGCAGGACAGCCGGACCCCTGCCCCAGGCTCTCAGCAGGACAGCCGGACCCCTGCCCCAGGTACTCAGCAGGACAGCCGGACCCCTGCCCCAGGCTCTCAGCAGGACAGCCGGACCCCTGCCCCAGGCTCTCAGCAGGACAGCCGGACCCCTGCCCCAGGCTCTCAGCAGGACAGCCGGACCCCTGCCCCAGGCTCTCAGCAGGACAGCCGGACCCCTGCCCCAGGCTCTCAGCAGGACAGCCGGACCCCTGCCCCAGGCTCTCAGCAGGACAGCCGGACCCCTTGCCCCAGGCTCTCAGCAGGACAGCCGGACCCCTGCCCCAGGTACTCAGCAGGACAGCCGGACCCCTACCCCAGGTACTCAGCAGGACAGCCGGACCCCTTGCCCCAGGCTCTCAGCAGGACAGCCGGACCCCTGCCCCAGGTACTCAGCAGGACAGCCGGACCCCTTGCCCCAGGCTCTCAGCAGGACAGCCGGACCCCCTGCCCCAGGCTCTCAGCAGGACAGCCGGACCCCTGCCCCAGGCTCTCAGCTGGACAGCCAGACCCGCCCCAGGCTCTCAGCTGGCGGTCAAGGTCTCCTGCTTTACTGATAAACTTGTCTCCAGGGACCCACACCCCCTGCCCAAGGGCTCTTGATCCTGGGCAGACTTAGAAGCAGTGCAGGGCCTCAGTGTGGGCCCTGAGCCTCGGGCTCTAAAGGGTGAATGGCACGTTCACACCATCGTCTTTCCTGGAAACGACAGCGCCTGCCATTCAGGACATTACCCAGCCCCCGGCCTGATAGCCCATGACTCTCCGGTTCATAACACAAAATCACACTTTTCATCAAGAAGCTTGTATTCTCCAGATAATTCAAGAATCCACACAGCAAATCCAGCACAGACTGTTTGCTTCCCAACACCCAGACACATGTGCCTGCAAATTCCTGATGTTACGAAGACCTGCCCCGGAGAGGGGAGGCATCGCCCCAGGTAACCCCAGGCCACAACCCACATCCCACACCCCAGACGACCCCGGGACATCGACAGTCCACACCCTAGACAACCCCGAGGCACTGAAAACCCACACCCACACCCGAAATAACCCTGGGACACTGACAACCCACACCCCAGACAATCCCAGACAACCCCGGGACACTGACAACCCACTCCCCAAATAACCCTAGGCAACCCCAGTATGCTGACAACCCACACCCCAGACAACTCCAGGAGACTGACAACCCACACCCCAGCTGACCCCGCATCCTGGCTGTGATGGGGCTGCCATCCACACCGCCTGCTCCAAGGGCTCTGCTGCTCCGGGTTGGACCTGCACGGTTCTGGGTCACTGCAGGACTTGGGACAAGTGACTCAGTTCCCCATTGAGCAGGACAGCATCCCAGCCGCCCTGGGTTACTGTGATATCAGGAGTCAGTGGCCAACGTTTCCTGAGCCCTCTTTCTGAGGCCAGACGCCAGCATGGAGGCTGCAGCGAGTCCCTTCCCTCATCTGCACGAGGCTTGGGGACCCCATGGCCACCTGGCCCAGGTGTGGGCACCGAGGTGGGGCTGTGGGGTGAGCTCCCGGGTGGCCCATGGCTGGCAGTCGGCCGTCCTGAGGGGACTCTAGGTACGACACGAGGTCCTCCAGCCACAGGCATCAGCTTCCCCTCTCGGACACAGGCCAGCAAAGACAATCGCCGGATGTCTGAGTACCCCCTCTCCTTCCAAAACAAACAGAAAACCCGTCCACAGCATCTGTCGACCAAAAGAAGAACCGCCAGAGTCCAGGGAAGCAGCTTGCCGGGAACCTGCCAGGTTTGCATCGAATTCCCCGAGTTCCGGAAACCCCGTCCGTCCCAGGCAAACAGGCACCGTGGGTCACCCTTCCGGGACCCACATTCGCGCCAGGCCTAGGTGGAGGCCTTGGCCCTGGGAAGGAAGGCTGACCAGAAGCCTCGGCACCCTGCCCCCGCGGCCACGTGTGGACGCAGAGGCCTCTTGGGCGGTGAAAGGCTGCTCCTGAAGGCGTTTCTGGTTTTTCCATTTATAAAGCAGAGTGAGGTTATAAATCAGAAAAGTGTTTACAGGAGACACACAGCTGGCAATAACAGCTTTGAGGGGCCACTGCGTCTCTGTGACTATTTCATCTTCCACGCCAACTTAAACATGAGAAAAAAAGGCTTTGCAGCCCAGGGCCCCGCTGCACGGCCCAGCAGATCGAGAGCATTTGCAATAATTCATAGACTTCTCACTTTCATTTTTCTGCCGCCCAGGAATTACATTCCACTATTAAAATGCGCTGGGACTGCCTGGCCCGGCCGCTCCTGCGTGTTCAGACACAGGTCGGGCGAGGACCCTGTGCGGCCCCAAGCGGACCCTGCTGCGGCTCCGGGGCCGGGCGCTTGCCCCCTGCTGGACACACGGTGCACTGCAGGCAGCCCAGAGGGCCCTCCCCGCTCTGCGGGTGAGAAAATCCCGAGACAGGCGGGTTTCCTCTGAGATGGCCACGGTTCCAGGTGAGAAAGCAGGCGGGAGGGAAGAAGCTGGCGTCCAGGCCCCTGTGCAGTCACATCTGGTCCTCTGCGGCCCGTTCCTGTTCTTGGGATGCTGGCGGGGGCACTGCCCCAGCTCAGGGGCACAGAAGACCCAGATGGGTGCAGGCAGGAAGGCCAGCTTGGTCGGGGTGGTGGGGGGGGCCTGGGCCAAGGCCAGAGCCGGGACAGCCCCCAGGTGTGGTCGGGCCTGGACCTTCCCTACTGCAGACCCAGTGGGTCCCACTCGCCTTCAGTCGAGGCTTTGTCACCTCAGGGCAAGTTGAGGGCAGAGCTGGGACTCCCCAGATACTGCCTGATCTGCTCTCACTGACCCAGCCCCAGAGCCCCAGGCAGGAGGGATGGGCAGGGCCTGAGGGACAGGTCTCTGTGGTCCTCAGAGCCTCACCCATTCACAGTCAGGCATGGGGCCAGAGAAGGCCGTGCTTCAGTGGGACCACCCACTGAAGGCCGAAGGCCGGTGCCAGCCGTCCCCACAACAGGACCCGGAGGCCTCTCTGCCCCATCCTCCAGATCCAGCCTCTAGTGTGCACAAGCTGAGAGGGGATGCTGAGGGCAAGAAGGAGCGGGACTTGGGTGTCCTGTCCCACACGCCCCCGAGGGGCTGGCAGGGGAGGATGGGGCAAGATGGTGGAGCTTGTCAGGGGAGATGGGGAGCACATTTCAGCAGCTGTGCTCTTCTGGGACAGCACAAACTGTCGGGGAGAAGAGTGATGGCCGGCAATGCCCCTGGGCAGCGAGGGGTCCCGAGTCCAGGGGCTCAAATGCTTCGGGGCACGGTGACAATGCCACCTCCTCCAGGAAGTCTCCCCAGACTGCACTGCCCAGTGGTGACTCTGAGCTGACTGCACCTCCCCTGAACTCCCGCCCTAGGAGCAGCCACTCTCCGGCTGCATGACTCTCTAAGACTCGGGAGGTTTGGGGCGCAGTCCCAGAGGTTTTTCAGGAAACAGCCACTAAATGGATGAATGAATGATGAAACCTGCTGCTCAAGGGCTGCAGACCTGGGCTCTCCCTGCACTGCCCGGGCCCTCAGGGCTGCACCACCCAGGCTGGGTCGGGCCACACACCCCAAAAGGGCCCTGCCAAAGCCCTCCCACCCCAGAAACAGAAGAAGGGGCCGGCGGCCACCCCTGGGCCCAGCCCCGGCCTCCCCTTGTATGCCCCCAGCCCCCCACCAATGCCCTCCCCTGCCCCTGGTGGGTCAGAGATCTCCTGGAGGCTACAGGGAGCAAAGGCGATGCCCGCAGGTGGCGAGCGTGTTCTCAGGAGCAGGTGGGCAGGGGCCTTGCAGACTCTTCATTTCTTCCTTCCCTTATCACCGTTAGCCATTTTCATGGGATAGAGATACA
This sequence comes from Homo sapiens, assembly GCF_000001405.40. Classification (NCBI taxonomy): domain Eukaryota; kingdom Metazoa; phylum Chordata; class Mammalia; order Primates; family Hominidae; genus Homo; species Homo sapiens. The sequence goes on from NW_021159990.1 coordinate 125,422, forward strand.
GAGGAGCTCCCATTACAAAGCGCCATTAAACTGTCGTCTGTGCAACTGTGTGTGAAGAGGCATCGGATAACGGTCAGGGCTGTGCACGCCTGAGTTGCTGGCCCTGCACCCGGCCCAGCACTCCTAGAGAGAGGCCTCACCTAGAGAGACAGGCCTTCTTCGGCACCCAGCACCACTGCCCACCCCAGCCTGCCCCCCTAAATGACACTCACTGCCTGGGCAGGACAGCCCCGGGGCCCAGCACACCAGGAGGGCTCCGAACCCGGCCAAAGGTGGTGGGAAGACAGAGGAACCGTGAAGAACAGATGATAGTACAGGCTGGGGAGAGGGGGCTGGTGTCCCCAGAGGCAGGGCCACCCCCCCAACAGTTGAGGGGGCCACCCACTCACGGCGCCATGGCCAGTGCAGGGCCTGGAGTCAGGCCAAGCTCCCGTCTGCCCCAGCTTGGCATTCAGACCACCAATCCAGCGGCCACAGGAGTGAGGTGTAGCCCCAGCCCCTGGCGCTAGAGGGAAACTGAGGCTGGGGTAGGGGACCAGAGGTGAAGCAGGCCTAGACCCCACCCCGTCTCCAGGGGGAAGGAGCTGTCCTTGGACCCACCATTCCCCCTCAGTGTGTCTAAGGGCCATGGGGATTTAGGAGCCCCAGGGGCATGGCTGGGGTGGACGCTCAAGGCTGGGAGGAGCTTCTTAGGGTCCCCAGGGTCCACTCCACCTGGCCATGCCCAGCCCACAGGTGCTCAGGCCCCAGGCCAGGGCAGACTCAGTAAAGAGTCCGGTGGGCAGGTGGGAGGTGGGAAGGGGGTGTCACGGCCCAGTGTCTGGCCTTTCCAGGGATGGGGACCAGGCCTTGACGGAGGCTGGATGTGGTCAGGTGGGGCCTGGGCAGCAGGGCATGACTCCATGGGGGGCACATGTGGCACCTGGCAGGAGGTGGAGCTGCATCTGAGCAGAGCACACAGGAGCCTGTGTCCCTGCATGTGGGTTGGTGCCCATGAGGCCAGCACGTGCCTGGAGCAGCCAAGCGGGTTCCAGGACTCAAGAGGCAGCCAGGCTCAGCGAGCAAGACAAGGTTGCCTCCTGAGGACAGAGGAGGCCCAGCCAACCCAACAGATACCCCCAGACAGAAGGTCCCAGACTCACCTAAGAACCCCCAGACAGAGGGTCCCAGACTCACCTAAGACACCCCCAGACAGAGGGTCCCAAGCTCACCTCAGAGACACCCCCAGACAGAGGGTCCCAGACTCAGCTAAGACACCCCCAGACAGAGGGTCCCAGACTCACCTGAGAAATACCCCCAGACAGAGGGTCCCAGACTCACCTAAGACACCCCCAGACAGAGGGTCCCAAACTCACCTCAGAGACACCCCCAGACAGAGGGTCCCAAACTCACCTCAGAGACACCCCCAGACAGAGGGTCTCAGCCAACCCAACAGACACCCCCAGACAGAAGGTCCCAGACTCACCTAAGACACCCCCAGACAGAGGGTCCCAGACTCACCTAAGACACCCCCAGACAGAGGGTCCCAAGCTCACCTCAGAGACACCCCCAGACAGAGGGTCCCAGACTCAGCTAAGACACCCCCAGACAGAGGGTCCCAGACTCACCTGAGAAATACCCCCAGACAGAGGGTCCCAGCCTCACCTGAGAAATACCCCCAGACAGAGGGTCCCAGACTCACCTAAGAAATACCCCCAGACAGAGGGTCCCAAACTCACCTAAGACACCCCCAGACAGAGGGTCCCAGACTCACCTGAGAAATACCCCCAGACAGAGGGTCCCAGACTCACCTAAGACACCCCAAGACAGAGGGTCCCCAACTCTCAGGCACCCCTTCATTCACCCAGCTGTGACTGGTGGGCCTGGAGCCCAGGCCCAGGGCAGGTGCAGTGAAGACCCCGCCCAGACCCAGGTCCCCACACACACTGGCCACACCCCTGCCCTGGGCATGGCCTGGGCCGAGCGGTGGCAGAGGCTGCTGTCCAGGAGGCTTCGTCTAGCAGCTCCAGAGAGCTGGGCGCTGAGTGCGGCCTGCTCACCCCCTCTCCTCTCTCCTCCCTGAGAGTCAGTGGGAGGTGAGGGGAGAGGGCCTGGGAGCCAGTGGCCAGGGTCAAAGCCCAGCTCAGCCACCGGGCAGCCAGGGCCAGTCCCTGACGAATGAGGGCCACCTGGCCCGGCCACTACAAGGGTGGGGGCAAGGGTGGGGTCAGCACCCTCGCGACGCCCAGAAAGGCCACTAAGGAAGCCGCAGAGCCCAGGCCACCGAGCACAGCGGGGAGAGGAAACTGCCTGGCCCGAAGGAAGGGAGCGAGCGGTCCAGGGGAGGCACCGTCCAGGAGCCAGCGCCCGGGGCCCCTCCGCAGGATCAAAGGCTGTCCAAGGGCACGGATGCCTCCCCACTCCCACCCGGGTGCTCACCGACGCGCCCGCTCAGAAATACAATATTTGTAGGGTCTTTTTCATAAAGGTCTTTATGGGTTTGGAAATTTAAACACCACGGAGCCTGAGTTGAATTGGAAAGCAAACGTCTCTAAGCTTGTACATCTTAGAGCAAAAAAATTCAATTAAGTGGGATTTTAGCTGTTTCAATAAAATTGGACTCTCCCTCTTCAAGATAAGAGCTCTGTGGCGTAGAAGCACCTTTATGTGCCACGAGTATCCACTTCTCCGAAACGCGTAATCCCGGCTCAGGACACAATGCCCACAACAGGAAATCAATGCATAGTCGAATCAATTTGAAAATATAAAATAAACTAATATATGAGTGGAAAATTGACTTCCTATGGATTAAAAGCAGCACAAATAGTAGAAAAATCTAGCTTTTTAGCAAAAGGAAGCAGGTTGGGGGGCGGGGTCTGGGAAGGGGCCCGGGAAGCCCTCGGTGCTTGGAGGATGGCACTGGGGCCTAATCTAGCCGAGGAGAATACGGGGCACCCGGTCCGAGGCTCCAGGGCTGCCAGGCGGTACTGAGCCTCGAGGCCCCCGTCACCAGCGCACATAAATGCTGCTGGCATAACCATTGAGTGGAAGAGTTGATAACGGGACTGTTTTCAAGGGCGGTGTAATAACAACCCCTTCACAGGCACCCATGGCTCCTCTCCTCCACAGCACGGCTTGGGGTGATGGCGTGAGCTGCCTGCCCGGGGGATGCAGGGAAGAAACCCACAGGCCCGACAACATCTTCAATGATGCCTTCTCCACATCACCGCCCCCCAGCCCAGATGCCTGGGAAAGAATGCTAGAGGGGCAGCCCCGCCAGCTGGTGCAAGCATGGCGTGCAACGTCCACGAAGCTGAGCAGGATGGCCTGGACGACGCACCCACCACGGGGCTCCTGGAGAGAATGGGCAGCCGCCCGACGAGGCCTGCCGGGGTCTCAGCCCTGCACCTCCGCAGCTGTGGGACGCCATGCCTCCTCTGAGATCTCCGGTCTGTGCCGCCTCCACCCTTTTGTTCAGACATAGCTATCGCTCTCCCCTGAGCCCCCATGACCCACAGCCCCCTGGCCTGCAGGCACTCCTCCTCCAGGGAGCCCACTCAGTTGCCCCCCTCAGAGCCAGCTCCCACCCCCTCCCCGGCTGCCAGGCCACTCCCTCCCCGGCTGCCAGGTCTCTCCCTGGCCCAGACCCCACAGGCCCCTGACATCCCATGCGCAATTGGGACTCAATGCCTATGAGGCTGCCTCGCCCCGACCCCAGCAACCACCCCTCACCCTCTGTCTGACCTGTCTGACGGGGACCCCTCCTCACCAGCCCCCCGGTCTGTCTCCCCATCACCTCGGTATGTGGTTTCCAGGTGCCCTCAGGGGGCAGCCGGCGTCTCTCTTTTGGTTTGTTTATTTCCAAGCAACAGACAAAAGCGCCACTCCCGGGTCCCGCGGCTCTGAGGCTTCCACCAACAGGGGAGGCCAGGAGAAGCCCAGTGGGCAAGCCCCTCGGGCCGTACCCAGGCCCCCGCCAGGCACCAGCCCACCTACCACTGCCCAGAAACCCACCTGCTCATGCACCCACCCACCCATGGGCTCCCAAACACACCCCCTCACTACTGTCTCCACCCGCCCAATTCCTCCCCCACCCACCTATGCACCCACCTGCCCACTAAATCCCAAACCCAGCCACCCGTGCGTCCATCTATTCAACCAGAGCATGTCTGTCCACCCCCAGACCGCCTTCTGCCTGTGCAGCCACGGCCCCCACCAGCCTCGACCTGCCCGTCCCGTCATCCATTTATTTATGCCCCGCTTGCCGATGCCTGCGGCTGAATAACAACTCTGTGGGTCCCAGCATAGGGTCTGCGGCATGGAGCCTGCCTGGCATGGCCCAGGCAGCCGCCATCCTCACCAGCCCCGGCCCAGCCTTGCTCTGCTAGTTCTGGGGTAGTCCAGTTAGCACCCCCACTCCCCACTCTGACCCTTGATCCACTCAGCAAACCCTTGTGAGCTTGCGAAGATTAAATGAGAGAATAATACTGGCAGCTAATGCAATGCCCACAGGTGCCAACCATGGGCCAGGCGCTGATCCAAGCACCCTGCTGTGTGCAGGTGACAATGACGCTCAGAACTAGACCTGCCACAGAGTCAACAAGCGTGGACCGCCTGCGGGCTCCGAGCTGAGGGAGAAGCACACGCCGCCCCTGCCCTGTGAGCTGGCGTTCCAGGACAGAATCGGATATCAAACGAGCACACGGATACCAAGTAAAGGCCCCACCGTCACACAGCAGCCGCCGCTGGAAACTGAGTTTGGTGGGGGAGGGGCCTCTCTGCCCAGGGACTGAGACCCTGGGATGGTGACAAAGGCCAGCACCGGGTCCCACACGGAGATGACGCCATTTAACCCTCCCCAAGACGCCAGGGAAGAGGCGTCCTTGTTCGTCCATTTTACAGAAGAGTACACTGAGGCCTCCAGACGCTGGTGGGGACCTCCCAAGCCAGGCTCCCCATGTCTCTTTCTGGGCCTCCGACCACCGTTGATCAGAGAAGCAAATCTGTTGGGAGAAATCTCGGAGCCACAGAGCCCTGGCAGGGTGCTCCTGGTGGGGACCAGTCCGGGCTGGCCCGACACTTCCTGCACGCCGGCCTCCCTGTCCCTGTCCTTTCGCCTGCAGCCTCTGCCTCTGCCTATCTCCCTCTTGGCCTCACTCCTGGGTCCTGTCTCTCTCTGCAGACCGTCCTTCCCACTTCTCTAAGCAGCGGAGGCAGCCACTGCCTACGGCACCCGAGCAGTCCACACAGTGGACCCCGGGGAGGGAAGCCTCCATGTCCACAGAACAGTGATCACGAAGAGGGAAGCCTCCGCATCCACAGAACAGTGACCACGAAGAGGGAAGCCTCCGCGTCCACAGAACAGTGACCACGAAGAGGGAAGCCTCCGCGTCCACAGAACAGTGGCCCCCGGGGAGGGAAGCCTCCGCGTCCACAGAACAGTGACCACGAGGAGGGAAGCCTCCGTGTCCACAGAACAGTGTCCCCGGGGAGAGAAGCCTCCGCGTCCACAGAACAGTGACCACGAAGAGGGAAGCCTCCGCGTCCACAGAACAGTGACCCCGGGGAGGGAAGCCTCCATGTCCACAGAACAGTGACCACAGGGAGGGAAGCCTCCGTGTCCACAGAACAGTGACCACGAGGAGGGAAGCCTCCATGTCCACAGAACAGTGTCCCCGGGGAGAGAAGCCTCCGCGTCCACAGAACAGTGACCACGAAGAGGGAAGCCTCCGCGTCCACAGAACAGTGAACCTGGGGAGGGAAGCCTCCATGCAGATCCCTGAAGCCCGCACTCCCGACCGTGATCTGAAAAAGGGTCTTTGCAGATGTGGCTGAGGTAAGGTGCAAATGAGACCCTCCCAGATAAGGGCAGGTCCCCAACCAATGACCGTGTCCTCCTGAGAAGGAACACAGAGGTGCCAGGGAGCAGCTGGGGAAAACAGAGGCAGAGGCTGGAGTGGCCGCTCCAAGCCAGGGCACTCCGAGGGTTGACGCAGCCCCTGGACCTGGAGGAGGCAGGAGGGAGCTCCAAGCCTTCAGAGGGAGCCATGGGGCAAGTACCAGGTACCCCCTGGTGATGCTGGTTGGTGCCGGGTAAATTCCAGGTGGCTTCTGGGCTCCAGACCGTGAAAGCATGCTGCTGTTTTAAGCTCCACCCCTGCCCGTGGTATTCATTCCACAGCCCCAGAGCAAGTTCCCCTGGGGGCCGTCCTGTGACTCCCCCGGCCACACCGCACCTCACCCGGAGTCCCCAGCCCGCCCCACCCAGCCTCAGGTCACGCCTTCCTCTGAGCAGCCTCCCTACACTGCACCAGCTCCCGGGCCCCCTCCTCATTCCCTCCTCGGCCCCACCCCCTGCCTCTCTCCTGGCCTCACCTTGCCCCCTCCTCTTCTCCGGGGCGGGCGGCACCCAGGCCAGACACCTCCTGCCAGCCCATGCTGACGCCGGGGCTGTGCTCAGTACGGGCTCAGGATGGGCTCAGGACAGGCGAAGGCGGCCGAGACTCCCGGGCCGGCAGGCCGGTGCCGCGTCAGCAGCGGGCTCATTAGCGGAGTTAACTGTCAGGCATAAGGAGGGGGAAAAAGCTCAATTTGTAAACACTTGGTCAATATGAGGTAAAGCCAACAGGATGGATTTGGGACCACATTGGACAACGCCATCGGCTGCACCGGACGCCCAGCAACAGTAGGTAAATTAGGTCATCATTAAATTATCATGAGGAAAAACGCATAATCGGCACCAGCGCTGGTAGAAAGATTACGGTTATTTACAAAAACCATGCTGTTTGCAAATTTGTGCAAAATTATTTGTTCCTAGCAGAGTTTTATAGAGCTATCTGCACATGATCTCCGCCCGAGATTCCCAGCCCTGCATATTAACTAATGTCTGTGGTTTAATTGGAAATAGAACAGGCCACATTGTAAATCGCTTTTCTGCCATCTGTCTCTGTCTCCACACGGGGCCTGGGAGTGGAGGACACAGTGAACAGATGGATGACAGGGACCCTGCGCTGCCCGGCCCCACCCCACTCCCCGCCAGAGCCTCAACTTACCCCTGCACCGCCCGGCCCCACCCACTCCCCTCCAGAGCCTCAACTTACCCCTGCACTGCCCGGCCCCACCTCATCCCTCTCCAGAGCCTCAACTTACCCCTGCACTGCCCGGCCCCACCCACTCCCCTCCAGAGCCTCAACTTACCCCTGCACCGCCCGGACCCACCCACTCCCCTCCAGAGCCTCAACTTACCCTGGTCACGGCTCGACCCTGACGCTGGCCACAGCCACGGACACTGCAAAGAACCAGCCCCTGCACAGCCACACACAGGGTTGGGGGCGGCCCTCAGTGGGCTTGAAGCGGCAACGGGCAGTAGTGTCTTCAGACCTGAAAATTAAAGAAGGTGACGGAGGCCATGTCTCAGCAATGTGCGCACTTCGTGGGCCTTTCTTCAATCGAATTGACCATTAGAGCAAGGAGGGTGAAAAACGACCTGGAGCAAAGGGTCGGACCCGATGCCAGGGACTCCTGCGAGATTCTGGGTTACTGCCAGGTAAATTCCAGGTCCCAACGGTGCTCCCAGGGCTCAGCCTCACGCCTCACTGGGAGGCAGTGGGATGGGCAGGGTGGTTCCTGTCCTTTCCTCGGCATGACCCGGGCCGGCTGTGTCTGTCCGACCCTGAATCAGCTGGTCTGGGAGGTGGACAGAGGGGCTGGGAAGCACCGAGTCCCCTCTGGAGGGCCACCCATCACCTACCATCCCCGCCAGGCCTCAGAACAGCCCGGAGCCACACTGCGGAGGGGGAGGCCCCACGAGCCTACAGGAACTGTTTCCCTGGCTGATGCCTGCCTGGCTCACGAGGTTCCTCACAGTCATATTTGCATGTGTGGACAACAATGAGCACAGACGCCTTAACATAAAAAGCCCAAGGCAGGCCAGGCACGGCGGCTCACACCTGCAATCCAGCACTTTGGGAGGCTGAGGCGGGAGGATTGCTTGAGCCCAGGAGTTCAAGACTGACCTGGGCAACATAGCCAGACCCTGTCTCAAAAAAAAAAAAAAAAAAAAAGGAAAGAAAGAAGAAAAAAGGAAAGCAAAGGGAAGGGAAGGGAAGGGAGGAGAAGGGAGGGGAGCGGAGGGGAGGGGAGGGGAGGGGAGGGGAGAGGAGGGAAGGGAAAGGAAGGGCAGGGCAGTGCAGGGCAAAAAGGCCAAGCCATAGTCAGAAAGCCAGGAGGCACCTCCCTGTGCCCCGCCACGGTCTTAAACCCACTTCTCCTTCCTTACAGCCCTAGGACAGATGTGGCTGAAGGTCAGGCTCCAGACGTGACGCTGGGGTTTCCAGTGACAGCCTGAACCCAGTGCTTGGCCCTGTCTGCACTTTTATTCGGAGTGGGGCTTGGGCTAGGGGGTGTGTCCTGAGACGGGGATGGGATCTGGATGAACTGAGATGAATTCTGGAAGCTTGGAAACCCCTGAGCCCCGGGTCCCCGTGAGTCTCCCTTGGCAGCAGAAGCTGCCCCTCCCCTATCAGAAGGGACCCACCCCCCGTGCTACCCCCACGCCAGCACCCCCGGCTGGCTGCCCTCCCCACGACCAGAAGGAAACTGTCCTGTATTCTCTGAATACACAGCCTGAGGGACAGGAGACCATGCAGGGACATGGGGAAGCAGCGTGAATGTGGATTCTGAGGGTGTCACACCAAGGGGGACAGGTCTGGGCTGAATGTTCCTACTCCTGCAGTTGGAGGTGCCTCTTGGAGTTCACTTGGACCCTAGACTCCGTGGTGGCCTGATCCCATGAGGCTGAGATGCCACAACCTCCCCGCACCGTGGGAGGAGGAAGCCGGGCCACCTGAGGAGGACGAGGGAACCCTGGGAGATGGCGGGAGGCAACCGCGCCAGCTGGCCTCGTGAACAGCACAGAAATGGAGCTGGGGGTGCCCGTGTCGTCATCACGAATCCAGCCATCTCATGAATGCAATTACGTCTTTTTACCCTTTCTCCTACCCTTACTGGTTTTTTGCTGTTGTTGTTTTTTGTTTTTTGTTTTGAGACAGGGTCTCCCCCTGTCATCCAGGCTGGAGTGCAGTGGCGCGATCTCAGCTCACTGCAGCCTCTGCCTCCCAGGTTCAAGCGATTCTCCCGCCTCGGCCTCCGAGTAGCTGGGATTACAGGCGTGCACCACCATGCCCAGCCTACCCTTACTTTTTAAATATTTGTGGTGTTTGGCACCGTAGCTATGGGTTACAGAAAGCCCAGGTGATGTCACACGGAATTTACCCCTGCGTGGTGCCTGCGGGGTGGCTGGAGCCAGGGTCTCCGTCTTGGGTGGGGACTCGGGGAGAGCTGCAGTGTCCTAGGCAGCCACCTGGGGCCCGGTCACATGGAAGTCAGATGTGGGCCTGGGCCGCCGTGCAGCGATGGCTGTGCCAGCCGTCTGCCTTGCCTCTCACCTCCACCCCACCACATCGGCCACTCTGCCCTGGGGCTGGGACTGACCCTTCACCCTTGCTCCCAGGCTTCCGACCACTGCCCTCTGGTTGGGTCCGGTCAAGGGAGCCCCTGGCCGCAGCCCAGAGGGATTGGGGGCCTGGACCCCTCCACATCTGTCTTGGGTGGCATTTCTTCACCTCGGCTCCCGCTGGCAGGTGCCTCCTTCTTGATCCTCCTTTTCTAGGAAGCCTGGCCTGACTCTGCGTCCCCAACTCCAGCTTCACCCCGGCAGCCTTAGGACATGGCAGCGGCCTCCTGCCGTGGGCCACGGATTCCCGCACCGCCTCGGTCACCCGGTCTTCAGGCGCGGCCCCTGTCGAGTCACCCGACAGACTCGTAGGTTTGTTCTGTTTTTCAGCGCCCTGCGTCAGCTGCCTGCACACCGGGCCCAGCTCAGCTGTGCATGGCTCCAGCACCATTTTAATTATCGTATCCACTGCAAAATGCGTCATTTCTTGTTGTGTTAGCGGTCGCTGTTTCCTGACTCCCTGCTGTGCGGCTAAATGAGTTAGACGAATCTGTTCTCTCCTGAACTTGGCGGAGCTCCTCGGCACCCCACACTGTTCTGGGGACTTGGGCTGCCTCGGAGGAAAAAGAAAACAGATGTCACCATGCCCTGTGGAGCCTGCGTCCTAGTGCGGATGTGGCAGTCGGTCCACGGGATGCACGCGGGACCCCAGGTGAAGGTGACCACCGTGGAGGAAGGTGGGACAAGGCGGGAAGGGCTGGGCGAAGGGAGCACGGTCACCTGGGGAGCGGCTCCAGACAGGGGACAGCAGGAGGCCCTCGCCACAGCACCTGGTGTGGGAGGCACAGCCAGGGTCATCGTGGCCACGGGCTGGAGGCCAGAGGGGTCTGTTCTGCGCAATGGCTGCTGAGCTGCAGCGATGGGGTGGACGCCGAGGGGACCCGGGCAGCCGAGAGGCAGCATGAGGAGGGATTGGGTTCTGTGCATTTCCATGGTGCAGCCATGGGAACCTCTATGGGATGAAGGGGCCGGGAGAAGCTGCGGGGCCCATGGCGGGGCCTGGAAGGCTGGGCACCCCTCACTAGGTACGGGGACTTCTGGGCAGCAAGTGATCGGGGATCGTTAGGATTCAGCCATGTTGAGTGTGAGAAGCCTCTGGGACAGCCGGGTGGAGATGTTGGGGCCTCCGGACTCACGGCCTGGGAGTCGGCGGCAGGAGGGTGGCCAGTGGTCATCAGCACAGGCGGCTCGAGAGGCCAGGGCCGGACAGAGCAGGTGTCAAGCCTCGGAGCAGAGGACCCAGAGGGCAGGCACAGCCACAGGCCTGGGAGCCGGGGAGCACAGAGCCCTGGACACACACCGGAGCACGTTGCAGAAAGGAAGGGCTGGTCATGTGTGTGTAGCGTGTCTGTGAGTGTCTGCGTGTGTCTCTGTGACCATGTGTCTCTGTAAGGGATTCTGTGTATTTCTGTGTCAGTATCTCTGTGTGTCCACGTGTGTCCACATGTGTCTGCATGTGGGATGCCGAGTACCTGTGTGTGTCTACGTGTGTCTGTCTAGGTGCATGTGGTCTGGGGCTGCACAGAGGCTGGGTGGGGATGCTGACAACCATCCCAGACTGAGCCCTGTAGCCCCGAGAGGAGGGCGTCGGTAGCCTGTGGAGCATGGCTGGGAGGGACCCCTGGAGCTGAAGCAGACAGGTCAGGGTCACCGTGACTGTCTCCCGCCCTGGTTCTGGGACCCTGGGCCTCAGGGTCTGGGCCACCTCTCCCTGGCCGGGTGGAGCAGCTCCATGGCAACCCAGGTCCCCACCATCCAGGACAGGGTCTGCCTCAGCCTCGGGTGGCCGAGCCAGGCAGGGTGAGGCCGAGAGGGCAGAGGATGGGAAGCCCAGGTACCCACTTCCGCCGCCGGCCCCACCGGCCTCCCTCACCCCTCCCAACAACCCACGGCCTGGGAGTGTCGATTCTGCGCCACTAACTCATTGATCGCCTTGCCCGGGTTAATTAATTAATTAGGGGCAGCCATGGAGCACAGTGGGCTGGGGCCAAGGAGGGACCCCAGCGCCGGGAGCTTTATTAGTACATAAAATGGGTGTTTAAAACACACACGGCCACGAGCGTGCAGTTGAGGCTTTTCATTAAACAAACCTATAACATTACGTGCCTCATTATGTATTTCGAGACTTCCCCTGCCTTCCGCGCTCCCTCTCCACCTGCCTCCCCGCGCACTCCAAGTGCCTATTTGAAATCAATTTCTCTAATAATGGACTTAATGAGCTCATCAATTAGAGCTGCCATAACCGAGTGTCGTGGGCTCTGCGGTTATCAGTTAAACTCTGGAACTAATTTCCATGCTTCATCTATCACGGGGCGCCCGCGACGTGGGGCTGCTGCTCTGGGACGATAGGGAGACCCCAGGCCCTTCCCGCAGGTCTCGGGGCCATCCCTGGAAGAGGACAATGAGGACAGAGTGGCCCACCTGGCCGAGAGCGGCCGAGGCGCGAGGCCGGTGTCATTAGTGGTAATGGATGGCCGGCGCGGGCCCAGATAAGACGTCCTTCCACATGGTCAGCCCCATTAGGCTGTTCTCGTCTCGCCCCAAACCCTCTAAATAACACCCCAGCATGGTAGGAGGCCAGCTGCCTGGGGACTGTGGTGCCTCAAATCCTGCGGCTCCCGCCTGCTGTCCAGCCCAGGGCTGGCGTGGGCCGGGCGAGAGCACCCATGGGCAGGCAGAGCTGGCAGGACCCCAGTGGTCAGGAAGGGAACCTGGAGAGAAGGTTCCAGAAGCTGACTGGGGATGGGCTTTGGGAAGGGAGGTGTCAGGGCATCCAGGGCTGCTGCTGGACACGGCAGTGTGGGTCCGCAGGTCTAACAGGCAGTGGTCTGGAAGGGGCTGCTGGGGGGAGGGCCGAGCAGAAGGAGGGTGGCCCGTGTGGGTGGGCAGGGCCGAGGCCAGGATGTTGAAAGCAGGATCTGCTCTGCCCGCTGCGCCCAGCTCTTGGGACAGTCTGGTGCGCAATGAGGCTCGAAACAGGCGGACGGATGGGCAAAGGGAAGCTCAGACAGCTGCCTCTGCCCCAGCTAGGGGTGCTTCCCAGAAAAAGCAGACCCCGCACCTGAGGTCCTGGATACAGGGACAAGGACCTGGAGAGGGACAAGGGGCACCAGAGCTGCAGACCCAGGACTGTGTGTCTCCTAAGCCAGACACCTCCTGGACTGAAGGAGAGGAGGAAATGGGCCTCTTACCTGGGGTACTCTTGGGAAACTGAGGCACAGAGCTTGTGCCTCCCTGCCCAAGCCAGAGACCACGGGGCCAGCTCCCCACGGGGTGAGTGTTGCCCACATGGTCCCTGCCCCAGCCTTGGCCTGGCTGTCTCTGCTAGGGTGGTTCAAGGTGTCCTCAACAACCCCATGGCTGGGCCCGGGGTCTCTGGGCAACTCCTCACCTGCCTGGCCCGTCCTCCCTGCAGCCCTAGAGGCCCCCGAGTCTCCATCCAAGCCATGCACCCCCATCCCAGCCTCAAGCCGAGGACCGCCCTTCCTCCTGTCCTGCCCAGAAAAGCCTGAAACAGTTCACTCAGTCACCCCTAGGGACCCCACCCGTTGCTGCCCAGGCCCCATGCACTTTGGAGAGCTGGCGTGGGGAGGTGGGTGGTGATTTGGGCAGGTGAAGGGCCAGGGTGGGGGCACTGGAGGAGCAAGGAGCCTGGGAACCACCTCTCCCTTCCACCCTGCCCACCCTTCCACCCCCACCCCTGCCCCAGGGTGTCTCTGGTGTCTCCACTTAGCCCCTGCCCCCTTCGATTTGTCATAATCAGCTCGGCTTTCTCATTAGCGAGAGGCCATTAATGAAGCTTTATCAGCAGCTGGAGGCCTGGCCCTTCCCCATCTCCGCCTCCCGGCCACCCTCAGGGCTGCACCCCCAGCCCCTACGGTGGAGGCAGGAGTGACCTGTGTGGCACCCTCTGCCCCCACTCTCCCCAGCACCTAGCACATCCAGGCCCAGAACTTGGGGTGACTTAGCCCCAGGGAGGATGGTCCCGGCGGCCCCAGCCCTGGGGTGCCCCTGGTCACTGCACTAGGCTTAAGGGCACCCACCCTGTGCCCTGCACCACCGTTGGCACTGGAGTGAGGGCTGGAAGGCTAACTGGTTGCCTGTGGGACCCAGGGACACAAAGCAGAATGGTTGAGGGGGAACAGGCGCACACCTGAGGGTCAGCAGGCTTCTGGAGCACAGGGTTGCCAGTGGGGATCTGAGCAGGGGAGGGGCAGGACCCCAGAGGCTATGTGGCCTCAGGCAGCAACCCTGAGAAGGCGGAGCGGGCGGCGGGACAGGTGTGTGTGGGAATGACACAAGAGGAGCAGGGAGGGGACCAGGAAGAGGCTGTGAGAAGACGGCTGATGGAGAGGCAGAGCTATGGGAGCTGTGCGGTGTCTGCAGGAGGAAGGAGACGTCAGCTAGGCCAGATAACGTTGCGGGTGGGGGCGTAATTTGGGGCCTGAGACTTGCCCCCGAGGTTTAATAAGGTCCCCATGGTGACCAGACAGAAGCCCCCTCGGTGTGGGTCCGGGAGGGCCGTGGAGGCTGCCCCTCCAAGGGAAGGGGGTGGGCTGGGGTGCCAGGGAGGAGGGCAGGGGGTGCAGGTCAGGGGAAGGTGCTTAAAGAAGGAGCAGGACCAGCCAGCCTGTCTTTGCTGATGGCTGAGGAGGGGGCCTTGTGGGGTCGGTGGTCTAAGAGGCCAGAGTGAGGGGCAGGATGGGGGAGGCTGCAGATGCAGCTGGCTGGGCTGGGGGCCCTCAAAGGCGCTCCCCTTGCCCCTCAGCTCCCCAGCATGCCAGGCCTGCTTGCCGACGCAGACCCCTCCGCAGCCCAGCTCAACAACCTCCCTCAGCTGGCGTCCCTCTGGGAGTTGAGCCAGCATCATCCTCCCCAGCTGTGGGGCCAAGCCCTGTCCAAGGCCTCCTAGTCCTGGGGACCCTGGCCTTGCTCCCTGGGTCCCACGTGGGGTCATCCTTGGCTGTTCTTTGGGCCTCCATGTTGGGGGACTCTCGGCAGCTGCCTGGGTGCAGGTCGGAGTCCCCAGAACGTCTGCTCTCGGTAGGCAGGACCCTGACCTTGCCAAGGCTGGGCCCCTCTGGCAAGGCGGGTGAATGATGGATGAGCAGTGAGGGGCCCTGCCCCACCCGACTGCTCACAGCCTTTCCCTCGTCCTCACCTCTGTCTACCCCCGAGGCCACTCCCCTGCAAGCTCAGACTGGAAAACCCCGTGGCCCCGTCAGCCTCGAAAGAGGTCAGGGCGGTCAGTGACAGCAGCTCCCGACATGAAAGCCACTCAACACCCCTGCTCCTCAGGGGTCTCTCAGAACCATCAGCTCAGAGCCAGGCACTGGGTCATTGCTCAGCTGGGCCAGAAATGGGGGTAGGGGGAGTAATTTGGGGCCTGAGACTTGCTCCAAGGTTTAGCAAGGTTTAGCATCTCCTCCAGGTGGGGACACACCCACACAGGTGAGGTTGCCCCTGGAGGGGACAGAGGCCTCTATGTGGGTGGGATCCTGGGTTCTCAGGCCTGGCCCTGGCCTTGTGGGGTGAAGACCCTGCAGGGGGCCCTCTCAGTCTCTTGGCCATAAATCAAACCTGTGCAGGCAGGTTGGCTGTGGCTCAACCTAATGACCCCATGGCTAGACACTCCTAAACCCAGGTTTAGGAATGTCGTTCTTGGTGTCCAGTGAGACTGCTGAAACCAGCTTCAGGATGTCCACAGGCCCAGGCAGAGCGAGGGTGTGGCCCCGCAGGTGCCCCATGGGGACAGACAGCTCGCCTGCTGCCGGTAGAGAGCATCCAGCAGAGGGGCAGAACTGGGCTCTCCAAGTACAGAGAAGCCAGAACGCTAGGTCATGTGTGTGCACGCCAGCCTCCTCCATCCGTCCCTGGGGACTGCGGTAGAGGCAGGTAGGGGACAGTGTGAGGTCCCACGGCACTGAGAAGGACCTCAGATCCAGGACAATGACCCCCTTCGTCCCTGGCAGGGAGGCAGGAGCCCCACCTGCAGAGGGGGAGGCAATGACCCCCTTCGTCCCCGGCGGGGAGGCGGGCGCCCCACCTGCAGAGGGGGAGGCTCGGCGGATCCCAGGGGTAGTCTGTGTTTGTGTCTCGTGGGCATCAGACACAGATGCTGTCTGTGCTGGAGCCCGCCAAGAAAAGGGTGGCACCAACCACAGGGCTGCCAGCGCTTCCTGAGCTGACATGGAGGCGGCACCAAGCGGGCCCCGCAGAGCCACCGCTAAAGACGCAGTGCTGCCGATGCGGAGATGAGAATGCCACGGTGCCCAGGAGCACCAGGGGAGGCTCCCAGGCGTCCACTCTCCCGGGAGAGGTGAGGGAAGGTGTAGATGAATGCTGGGAGCTGGTAAATCCAGACTCCCCAGGACCATGATCAGAGGAAAGCTGCAGGGCAGGCAGAGGGGCAAGGCTCCCACCAACAGCATTCCCGGTGGACTGGGCTCTGGGTGGGGCGGGGCTCCAGGTGGGCGGGAATATGGCTGGAGTCACAGGTGGGTGTGGTTCCAGGTGGGTGGGGCTCGGGTGGGTGTGGCTTTGGCGGGAGTCACAGGTTGGGTGTAGCTCCAGGTGAGCGGGAATATGGGTTGAGTCACAGGTGGGTGTGGTTCTGGGTGGGTGTGGCTCCGGGTGGGTGTGGCTTCAGGTGGGTGTGGCTTTGGCGGGAGTCACAGGTTGGGTGTAGCTCCAGGTGAGCGGGAATATGGGTTGAGTCACAGGTGGGTGTGGTTCTGGGTGGGTGTGGCTCCGGGTGGGTGTGGCTTCAGGTGGGTGTGGCTTTGGCGGGAGTCACAGGTTGGGTGTAGCTCCAGGTGAGCGGGGCTCCCTTTGGGTGGAGTCACAGAGGGGGGCTCCTGGGGAGGTCCAGCCCCAGGTCTCTCTTCTTCTCCACAGGGAAGGCCTGTAAGTCAGCCCCTCCCTTGTGACCCTCCTGGAGCAGGGGCTGGGCCAGGGGGTCCCCCCACCCCCGTCAGGTCAGGCACCCACTGCCCTTCCACATCAGCTGCAGCCTCGGCTCTCTCGCCTCTCCTCCTGACCCTTGAGTCATCGGGGCCTCCCTGTCCTTGGTGCCGCTCAGGCTCTACCTTCACTCCGCTGCAGTCCCAGGCTTCACAGCATCCCACCCTGCGGGCTCAGATCTGCAGATGTGTGCAGCCCTTTCCCCAGCACCCTGCCAGAGCCCAGACCCTCCCAGGGCAGCTGGAGGAGCAGGGCTGGTGGTACCCGGTACTGGTGGAGGGCAGACCAGTGGAGGGAGAGAGGGAGGGGGCAAGGTCCAGGACCGGCGGGCGGGTGCTGGCTTTGCAGCATGAAGGACCTGGGGCTGCGTGAGGCCCACCCACTCCTCGCTGCGCAGGGCGGGGAGCAGCCTCGCCTCCTGCCGGAAGAGAGGCCCCATCCTCTGAGCTCCCCTCCCACCCCCTGCAGCAGCCCTGTCCCCCGCCATCCCCCACCAGGGACTTTCAGGACCTCTGCCCCCTCCTCCGGCCCAGAAGCTGGCCATGGCCCCACAACCCAGGCTGAAGGGGTGGCCCTGGCCACGCCCCCTGTGCCCAGCAGAGTCCTGGGATCTCCTCTCTCCTCAGCACCTGCTCCCCCTTTGCTGAGACCACACACCCAGCCAGATTTGGGGGGCTGGAGAAACCCCTAATCATGACTTGGGCTCGGGGTCCCTCCTCGGCCTGAGGCCACATCGTTAAAACACCTGGGGCCAGGACAGCCCGAAAGGCCCCCAAGGACCTACCAGGAGCAGCCCCAGCCCAGGGCCCCCGGCCCCTCCAGCCTCCCCTCCACACATGGGTGGAAGGTGCAAGGGGATGGGGGACACAGCCGTCCACACGTGCGACCAGGGGAAGGGCTGGGCAGCACGCCCCGCCCTTCCACAGCTTGGACCCGCCCAGCATCATGGGATCAACCTTGACCCCAGCTCGGCCCCAGTGTGTTAGGCCAGACCGGCTGTGGAGGTGCAGGCAGGGCCGGCAGGGACGGGGTTAAGAGCACGGCGCCTCCCAGGCCTCCCTCCTCGTTCCCTTTGAAATGGCTCCCTGGTTCCAGAATGACTCCGGCTTCCCCTCTTAATCTGTATTTTACGAGTGAGAAGGTTTGCATTATGCAAATCGTTAGATAGGAACAGGTGACATTTCAGCAAAGAACACGGCAGGCGGCGGCCTGCGGCTGCTGATTTAGACATTAGTATTTGTCACCAGGGCGGCGGGGGCGGAGGAGAACTCGGCCACGGAGGGCTCCTCACACCTTAAGGTGGAAGTCTCCCAGCCGGGGCAGGCCGGGCCCGCACACCCTGAGGCCTCCCAGCGACCAGCACACCACCCGCGGGAGCTCCCTTCTGTGCACCAGGCTCCGGCCCAGCAGCACCTCCTGGAGCTCACGCCGCCACGGTGCAGGGCAAGCACAGGCCCATTTTACAGATGAGGAAGCCGAGGCCCGGCGAGGTGATGGGCGGGCTGGGTCTCAGCTGGAGAATGGGGCAGGGTCCAAGCCAGCCAGGGATGTCCCCACAGCGAGTGTCCGGAGGGCCCACTCCCCACGACTGCACAGTTCATTCTGCGGGTCCTTCCTCCAGCAGCGCCCCCATCCCAACTCCACCCTCTCCCATGCAGCCCACAGACAGCCTGGGGCGGCCCGCCCACCCCACCCCACCCGCGCCGCCTCCCACCCACCCCACCCGCGCCGCCTCCCACCCACCCCACCCGCACCGCCTCCCACCCCACCCCACCCGCGCCACCTCCCACCCCACTCCACCCGCGCCGCCTCCCACCCGCGCCGCCTCCGACCCGCAGCCCCGCGGCGCTCTCCTGGGCAGGCTCTGCGGCACCATCCATCATCCACTGTCAGAAGCATCCGCGTCCATTTCCCGGGAAGTTGTTTGAGGGGAAATGGACGAAAGAGAAGGGAGCGGCCACGCACTTCCCAGGGCGCCCCGCGAGCCCTTCAATTTTCCAGCTGCCTGACAACGCCCACGGCGCACCCAGCTCTGAGGGGCATGAGAAACGCCAGGCCCTCGGGTCCTCCAGAGGCTGGGAGAGCCGTGGAGCCACCGGGGCAGGCTTTCCCAGGAGCCCCATGGGGGCTGTGGGCCGCAGCACGCAGCCGGAACATGGACGGCAGTCCCGGGCAGACCCTCCCGGCACAGGCCCGGCAAGCTGCTGTCCCGGCTTCGAGGTCTCTGGTAGGCTGAGCTGGTTGGTCCTGGGGCTCCTGTGTGGCCGTGGGTCTGTAGGCAGCCAAGGGCAGTATGTCCTGGGGAGCCTGCAGGGCACCGGGCAGGGCCCAGCTCCCCACAGCCCGCCTGGTCTCTCCGGCCTCTGGCTCTGAGTCTGCAGGATGTGGAGTGGGCTGCAGCAGGCTGCTCTCTGTGCTTCTGAGAGGCTGGGCAGCCCTCTGGGGAGCTCAGGGGAGTTTGGGGTGCCGTGGTCCAGGACGACCTGGATGACCTTGGATGACCTCGAAGGCCTTTTGGCTCAGACGACCCTGGATCCCAGGGGTGTGTGGGCAAAGGCAAGAGAAGGCCCATGAAGAGAGGCTGGGCCTGTTGTGCAAGGAGAGCAAGGCCAGAACCAGCGGCAGGGCCAGACGGCAGCACTGAGCACTCCGCCTGTGCAGGGTGACCCCTCTTGCCCTGTCCTTGCCTGTGGGGGAGGAAGGGTGGGGCAGCAGAATACCGAGGTGGGAGCCCTTTGTGGAGCCGAAACCATGGCAGCCGGGAGGCCAGATTCACCCACCCCAAGGACCCCCAGACCCCCGGCTTCATACAGCAGCGCAATGGCATTAGTAACACGCTTTTCTTGGGGAGACTTTGGGGCAGAAATGAAGTTGCAGGCAACATGCCATGGGGGAGGCAGAACCCTGGACACAGCCCAGCTCCAGGGCGTTGTCTGGGGCTCACGCCACCTCTGAGACACCCGCGTAGGGGGCGCATGGCTGGCTTGTGGCTGGCAGATGCCGGTAGATGCACCTGGCTGAGGAATCCGCTCAGATCCTCAGCAGATCTGCCTGGTGCTCACAACCCCACTCCAGGGGCTCCTGACACTGAGAGGCGGGGATGTTAGCTCCTGGCTTATCTAGCGGGGTTCCTTAGGCCACAGAACTTTGGGTTCTGGACACCTGTGGGGCTGTGAGGGGGGTTGACCCTGGGTAGGAAGAGGGTGCAAGGGCACGGAATTCCTAACTCACGCCTGGAAGTGTGCGGACAGTGTTTAGCCAGAGGGGTGGCTCAGTCCTCAGACATCACACAGAGTGGGTCATTCAGCCACTCAACAAACACAGGGATCCAGAGGGGACAAAGGAAGTGGCCCGGCCAGGGTGGGCTGAGCACCCTCCATGTGCCTGGCATTGGGCTCGGTGCCGGCCGTGCAGTGAAGGCCAGGGCCCTGTGCCTAGCAACAGAGCAGCTGGGTCCTCGTCTGGCACCCCCACGAGGTGGCTTATCCATCTACACGGGTTGGCTCTGACACCATCCACGTGTGCCAGGTGAGGACAGTGAGACGCGCTCAGGGACCTGCCTCCCTCTCACACTGCTCGGCTCCACAGCTCCCCCAGTGCACGCCCAGAACCAGGTCAGGGCCTGGCGGTTCACGGCCCGTCTGCACCCCTGCATCAGCAGCAGGGGTCCCCAAATGACGGCCCGTCCTCTCTCCTCAGGGGCTTCTCCAACCCTAGTTCCCCGAGCCGAGTGCAGCTCCTCCTGGACAGCCCGTCCACTCCAGGCCAACACAGCAGCACAGCCCTGGTGTCAAATCTGAATGGACCCAGCAAGCCTGAGACAGGAGAGGAGAGAGGGTGCCCAGGCGGGTAGAGGCAGCCTCAGCCCAGCTAAGGAGGTCAAGGAGGCTGGGGAGGCCCCTGGGACCAGACCTGCCGGGCTCCTGGGCCTTTGAGAGGGGCTTGGAGGAGCTGCTTAAGGCTAGACTAGTTGGGGGGGGGGGGTCTGTGGGGGTGAAGAGGATGCCCCAATCTCGACAATGTGCAATGAGGCCTTGGTGGGCAAGGCTGCGGGTTGGAACCTGTGTTTATGCATTTGGGGACACCCTTCTCCGCTTGGGGCACTGCAGGTGGGGGCCTCAGGGGCCAGGAGGGCCACAGGGTGAGGGCAGTGCCCAACCCACCACAGGTCACAGGTGTGCAGCAGAGGTTTCCAAGGGTTAGGAGTGTGGGTAGGGCCATGGGGGGCAGACTCTGACCCTCATCCCTAGTTCCCAGGGAAAGCGGGGGATGCTGGCCGCCTCACTGAGGGTCTGGCAGACCCCAGCCTAGCAGTCTTGCCCCAAGCACGGTGTCTGCAGCTGTGAGTGCAGGGGTGGAAGCAGAGGCTGAGGCTGAGCCTCACCGGGCCAGGCCGCTGGCTGCCCAGCCTGTGTCCTCTCGGAGCCCACCCGTTTCTTCCAGGCTTCCCCGGGAGAATCACCTGCTATTTTTCCACCTCCCTTAGCCCTGACTCCAGCCAGGCAGGGCCTCACCTGGGCTGGGGTCGGCAGGTGAACCAGACCTGGTGCCGGGTGCTGGTGCTGCCAGGGAAGAACGTCTCCAGGTCCTGGCGCTGGCAGGAGGAAGGTGTCCCTGGAGTTGAGGGCTTGTGCTCGCCACCCTAAGTGCTCTTTCCTTTGGGTCCAAGTGTGCTCTTCATTGCCATGGCCCCACGAGGCGGAAGGGCCTCCTCAGCAAGCCGCTTGGGGGTGACCTCCTGCTTCTCTTAGAGCCCTGACCCTGCACAGGGGGAAGGGAGCGTGGAAGGGGTGCATCGTGCAAGGAGGTGGAAAGCTGCTCTCTGGGCTGCCCCACCCTTCTCTGATCCGAGGCCCAGGGCAGCAGCCACCCTTATTTTCCTCGCCCTGGAACAAGTGTGCATGCAGCGGCTTCTGACACACACACATGTAATAAACAGACAAGGAAACACATTTAATCTGCTTTTCTCTTAAAGCACTCTGTGGACTGAGGCCTGGTGAGATAGGAAGACGGTGGGTCCCTGGCCCACTCTGCCTGGGAGCTGAGCTGTGGGGTCAGGCGCTCTGACACCTAGAGGAGACAAGACCCCCGCACCCTGGGGCCTCCCACACCCTGAGTTCCCAGCCCCGTCCCCCATCCCAGCCCCACCACCAACGCCTGGCAGCCACAGCGTCACCCCCGCTCCTGCGGCAGGGGAGTGTTGTCCTGGCGTCTCTTTCCTGGGATCCCAGCGCTTTGTAGTGACATTTAAGATGAAAAGAAAGGGAAGTCCTCCCTGCTCTAATGTGTACAGTTCAGGTTGGAAATTAGCATGAGAAAAGGAAACACTCTCCTTATCTCTGGGAGCGAATGGGCCAGCTCCTCCACTCCTGGGCCTTTGTCTACTGTCAATAATCACTTACCTTCAGGCCCATAAATGTCATTCTTGGGGTGCTCATAAACAGCCCCGTCTCTTTTTAAATTAGCAAGTAGAGATATTTATGGGTTTCTATTAAGGGTGGTGGGTGGGGGAGTCGGGAGCACTCGGCAGCTGTGATAAGGGAGAGGTTGGGGGGGCCTGCAGGAGGCACGGAACCCCCACCCAGCTTCCAAGGCGGGAGCCCCAGCTAAGGCTCCATGCAGACCCGCAGACCCTCACCACACTCCTGTGGGGACAGCTGGGGGACATCCATGGCTTGGTCGGGGGAAGGGGGCTGGAGGCCTAAAAATCACAAAGAGCGAACCACCTGTGGCAGAAGCCAGGTGGGGGTTGGTGGGCGCATGAGGGTGGGAGGGGCTCCAGCAGACGGGCAGATGATACCACCAATCCTGACTCCTGCCCCAGAGGGGCCGGGCCTCAGCTTCCCCAGCTGTGAAAAGGTGTGGCCAAGCCACTGTGGAGGCAGGTGAGGCCCCTGCACACGCAGTCACACCAAACATCCTATGCTCACATGCACACACTGTCCACTCGCAAAACTGCTCACACATATACTCACATGTACACACACACATTCACACACATTCACTCACACACAGTCATTCACATTCCCACATTCACATTCACACACACGTTCACACACATTCACACACCCACATTCACACAATTCACTTTCACACACATTCATTCTCACATTCACATTCACACACATTCACACACCCACATTCACACAATTCACTTTCCCACATTCTCACATTCACACTCACATTCACTCACGTTCCTTCACACACACATTCACATTTACACCCATTCACACACACATTCACACACATTGACTCACATTCACATATTCACTCACATACATTCACCCTCACACATTCAAACACACAAACACACAGCCTCCCACCTCTAAAATGTCTCTCCACACCTCCCACCCCTTCAGCTTCTCCCCCATCCCAACTCTTCCTTCATTTTAGATCCTTCTTCATTCCCAACTCCTCCCTCTTCCTGGTTTCTCTCTCATCCCAGCTCCTCTTTTTCCCCAGCTCCTCCCTCATCCCAGCTCCTCCCTCAGGTCCTCACTCTTCCCCAGATCCTCTCCAATCCCCAGCTTCTCCCTCATCCCAGCACCTCCCTCATTTCCAACTCCTTCCTCTTCCCAGATCCTCCCTCATCCCAGCTGCTCCCTCATTTCAGCTCCTCCCCAATTCCCAGCTTCTCCCTCACTGCAGTTCCTCCTCATCCCCAGCTCCTCCCTCCCAGCTCCCCCCATCCTCAGCTCCCCCTCATCCTCAGCTCCCCCTCACCCTCAGCTCTTCCCTCATCTCAGCTCCTCCTCACCCTCAGCTCCCCCCATCCTCAGCTCCCCCTCACCCTCAGCTCCTCCCTCATCTCAGCTCCCCCTCACCCTCAGCTCCTCCCTCACCCTCAGCTCCTCCCTCATCTCAGCTCCCCCTCACCCTCAGCTCCTCCCTCATCTCAGTTCCCCCTCACCCTCAGCTCCTCCCTCACCCTCAGCTCCTCCCTCATCTCAGCTCCCCCTCACCCTCAGCTCCTCCCTCATCCAGCTCCTCCCTCACCCTCAGCTCTTCCCTCATCCCAGCTCTTCCTGCATCCCCAACTCTTCCCCTCCTTCCCAGCAGCCACACTGCACACCAGAGCCGGAGTGATTTTTAACTTTCACTTCCGAATAATGTTAGATTTACAGAGTAGTGCAAAGACAGCACATAGAGTTTGGATGCCTCCCCCGCCCCCCTACTGTTTCATCTTGTCGCCTTCGTCACAGCCTGGCACGTGGCTCTTCCCTGAATTCCAGCCTTCCTTTGGGCTCCTGCTTTCCCAGTGCCGTTTGTCTGGTCCAGGACTCTGCACCATCTCCTGAGGCCCCGCTGGTCTAGGACGGCCTTGACAGCTTTTGGGGGCACTGCTTGACATCCTGCAGAGTGTCCCAGTCAGGGCTGGTCTTGGGGGTTGTCTCAGGGCCGGACTGGTGCCCTCCTCATCCCCTCCCACCAGGGTCAAAACCCCCGCCTGCCGGTCATGTGACTGCTCTCCCCCGGTGCCCTGTGTGTGGGGAGAGTCAGTGAAGCCCCCACTCAAATGGTTCAGCTCCTTCTCTGGGGACATCCAGCACGTTTCTTCAGATTCCTCTGTGAGGAAGATTGGAAGACATTCTTTTAAAACACAGATGGTCTCTGGTGCCCCCACGCCTCTCTTCCTCTGTGGCCCTCAGCCAAGGGATCATTTCAAGGGACCCCCAGCCCCACTCTGTCCCAGCCCCTCCTGTGGGGCCTTGCACACACGGGCACCCCTGAGACAGGCGAGGCCTGGACAGGTGCAGGAGGTGGGCCTGGAGCCGGTGGGTGGGGCTGGCTGGACGGCAGGTGGTCAGCGGGCGGCAGGCTCAGCTTGTCTCTGGCAGGAGGGCCCACGCCCTGTGTGCCAGGCTGCTGGGCCTCCCCGGACGGACCGGCTGCCCGAACCCCTCGGCTATGGCAAGCTTTCATGGTCTCTGCCTCCCTCGGTGTCAACACATGACATTGAGGTTAAAAATGTGCCAGGTGGATGAGTGACAGGCCTCCTTCACAGAAGGTGGCCACAGAAGCAACCTGCACATCTAAAGGCACGTGACAGCAGTCCAGTCCCCACGCAGTGAAGGGGCCCCATCCGCCCACCAAGAGGACAGGGTGCAGCAAGCCAGCTACCCCCTGAGTGCCCACTGCCTGCCCATGCCCTGCTGGGGGAAGAGGCAGCTGGGGGCCACCCGGCAGGGCTGACTGCATGGGACATACCCAGCTGTGCTTGCAGTCCCTGAGGAGGGCTGGCAGCCCCTTCAGGAGAAAGCGCAGCCACAGGATGGGATGCTGTGTGGACTCAGGTCCAGGGCTCCACCACACCCCAAGTCTCTCTGGCCCCCAACCTTACCCCATCCCACCCTGTGCCCGAGTTGGCATCATCCAATCTCCACTTGGCATCATCCAAGGTGCAGACTGGATGCAGATCATCCAGTCTGAGTTTTAGGAGACTTTGACAGGGGAGATGGCTGCGGTCTGGCAGGGGCCACACCAGGGGAAAGAAAGGCAGTGACAGGCACAGGCAGTGCCCCTGACAGAGGGGTGGCCTGGGAGGGGGGCTGTCAAGGGGGTTGCTGAAGGTATGGCAGGAAGACAGAGAGGCAGGACGGGGAGCGCCTTGCCCGAAGCTGAGTACAGGTGGCGGCTGTCCAGCAGGGGGAGGGAGGGGTCTCCATGATACTGAGTGGCAGAGGAAGGTGCTGGACACTGCCCCCACCCAGGAAATGGCCTGGCACCCCTGGGGTCCTAAACAAGCCAATCTCCCTCCTTGCCAGAGAGCAGGAGCTGGGGGCAGAATGAGGAGGCTGCTGGGTCCCCAGCATGGGTTGGGAGAGCCATCATTCTTGGAGGCCTGATAAGGGGTGGGAAGGGAGAGGGCCACCCTGAGACCCAGGCATACAGGACAGTCCACTGAGCCTGGGGTCACCAGGGGCACCTCACCCCCGGGACCCCCTGCAAGCCACCCGGGGTGAAGTGGCCCCAGGGCAGTGTGAGAATTCCACACCCCCCACCTGCCCGGCTGTGGGCTGCAGCCTCCCTCCTGGCCATCCCAGCAGCATCTGCAGCTGGGCCTATGCGGTGAGTCCACCTTAAGTGGGTTTGATCGGCCCGTGCACTGGTGAGAGCATGCTAATATTGGCTCCAATAAAGAGCAAATCAGGGCCCTAGTCGACGCGTCTTATCACACAGTCAGAACTGATGGCTGCAGAAGTCATAAAGATCCCATTTAATCTCGCGCCTATCTATCACGCGGCTGCCTTCATCCTCTTTGTGCCGGGGTAATATGTGCTCATTACAAAAGCAAAACAGATCTGGCATGAATAAACGCAGGATGAAGTGCTCACTCGGAAAGTGACAGCATGATCAGTGGCGGCAGTAATCGCAGAGAATCGCGGGCTAAATTATTCCATAACCGTGATTTGAGGGGACAGCCCAGAGCACCCCACAGCTGCCTGCAGCACAGCGACGTGTCCTGATAAAACATCCTTCCCAATTTACGGGGCCGCGCTTGACTAATCTGCCTCCGCGCGCACACTGTCTAATCATGCCATCAGCACCGCGAGAAGGGGCTCAATTGGGACTCCAATGAAAGGAGATTGGAAAACTACCCTCAATTGAAATTACATTTGTAAATGAGGCAGAGTTTTCTGTTCAGAGTGTGAACGTTACGGTAAATCTGCTCCAGAAAGTCGAAGAGGCGGCAGCGGTGGGCAGGCCGGGGACGCCGCAGGGGCGACTGGGACTGTGCCCCGGCTGGGGCCAGGGTCCACATTCTGGAGAGGTGCCCGGCACCATGCTGGCCCCTGGGGACAGCCCCAGGAGAGGAGAGGGGCTGTGGCGGAAGCCCGGAGAGTTGGGCCTAGTTTGTCAGACATCAGACTTCACTTCCCACTCTGTAAAATGGGGCGCAGGGCGGCCTCCTTGAGGGAGGGGGTAAGACAGAACGAGGGGTGAGTCAGAGCTTAGTTGGTCTCCTCTCTGCCTTCCAAGGGTGCCCCCGCCCCTCCCTCCCACACTGCACACTGTTCCCGGCCCCTCCCTCCCTCCAGCCCTCTGTGCATCTGGTAGTGTTCCGGGTCCTCTCTGAGGCAACTGAGCGGGTACGGTGGGGACAGGGGCACTTCCCGCACCAGGGTGTTGGGTCTGAGGCTGTCCTCGTGGTAGGGGAGGGCTGGACCCAGATCACCTGCCTGACCACGTGCCCAGGACATTGGCCAGGCACACTCACTGGGACACTGCAGGAGGGGAGCACACAGGGAGAGCAGAGGGGACCATGTGCCAGACGAATGGACCTGCCCCCTCCAGGACAGTGGCGAACCCAGGGGAAGGTGGCCTTGGGCCCTGGAGGTCCTCTCCCAGACAGAGGCAGGGCCTGTGCTCAGGGCTCAGGGATGGCCATGCGGACCCCGCCAGCAGACGGAGCCTGGACGCCAGCAGCTCCCGTGGCCACAGGGTGCGGGGTGGTAGGGGGGCTACTGCCTGCTGGTCTCACCTCGTGGACTGCTGGCCAGAGTGGCCCCAGCAGCAGCGGTGAGGTACCCAGCACCTCCTCAAAGGCCTTTATGTAAATCAAGTCCTAATTAGGCCATCCGGCGTTTGTGTAGAATATCATTTTTTTAATTACCAGCCCTGGGCAGGTTCCCCGGCTGCCTGTTGTGCGCCAATTACCATAAATCCCCCGGTAACAATTAACAATGTTGGAGCGAGCTGCATGTATTTCCAATGTTATAATTATGCGCGGCGCTCTTGTTAATTGGCCTATCTGACTCTGTACTTTTTATGCCGCTCATCTGCTCATTACCGCGGCCATTTAATTCAATTAGCACCTTAATTAGAGGGACAGCCTTGTCCAATGTCGGGGCCTTGTCAGGGAGCCGCCTGATGAGCAGAGACAAACACAGGCTCTGCCGGGACCAGGCAGCCGCAGGGCTGCGGGTCGGGGGCTGCAGGTGAGGGGCTGCGGGGGTGCAGGTGGGGGGCTGTGGGGGTGCTGCCCGGGGATGCTCTGGGGGTTCTCCCCATGCCCTTGACCTGGCTGCCCTTGCAGGCCGGGGTGAGCAGCCACAGCACGATTCCTGCCTGCGATTCCTGCCTGCCCTGAGCGCCTTCCCCTGCCACGACCTTCAGGCGCCTGGGAAGGTCTGCAGTCCTGGCTGTCAACACCCCCAGGCCCCCCCCAAGCCTGGACACGGCCCCCAGACCGGCACGATGTCCAGGCTAGGTTTTGTTTTGTGCCAGTCTATTGAAATCGCTATTCCCTGCCTATTAATTCTCCTAATTAGAATTAAATGAAGCATGCTAAATTGCTAGATTAACCAATAATTAAGCAGCCACTGCACTAAAACTGAACACCCCGGGTGGCCTGCACCCCGTCTGCGTGCAAGTGCCAGGGGCGGGCGTGCCAGGCAGGAGGGGCCGACCAGCCTTGGGGACAGCGGTGCGTGCGCTAGTGCCCGCACCCGGTGTGTAGAAGGGCGCGAGCGTTGGCGTGAGAGCCGGTGTGGCCTGGAAGCTCTGCAGGAACGTGTGGGGGTAGGAGGTGAGGGGACCCTCAGTTACGGGGAGAGGGCATCACACGGGCCTTGCTGGGGGCAGAAGATTTGTCGTGAGCGCGACAGACCCACTAGACTCTGCAGGTCCCCATGGGAAGCGCCCTGCCCTCCACGCCCACCTACGAGGTCGCGACCCCCCTACCCCGAACCGCCCTCTGCAGACAACGAGGCTCGGAGGAGGCAAGCAGCGAACCAAAGCTCCCACCGTCACCAGGGAAGGGAGGGGAGGGCAGGGCAGGGAAGGGGCGGAGGAGGGGAGAGAAGAGGGGGAGAGGAGAGAAGAGGGGGAGGGGAGAGAAGAGGGGGAGGGGAGAGAAGAGGGGGAGGGGAGAGAAGAGGGGGAGGGGAGAGAAGAGGGGGAGGGGAGAGAAGAGGGGGAGGGGAGAGAAGAGGGGGAGGGGAGAGAAGAGGGGGAGGAGAGGGGTCGCCTCTCGAGGCAGAGCAGGCGGGAAAGGGCGCGGCCCGGCTGCGACACCCCTAGGCCCCCCACCCCCGCAGGCGCAGAGCCGGGGCGCTCCCCCCATTGCACCGCCCGCCCTCCAGGCCGGAATCGAGGTCCCCTTCCCAGCGCTGCTGGACGCCCCTCCCGAGCGCTCCCGAATCCGACCAGCCCGGAGGCGGCTGCGCCTCCAGGGGCTCCCGTCAGGCCCCTGCCCCCCCTGCCCTCCCTGCCCTGGCGCGCCCCCGCCCCTAGCCGCCATCCCCGCCCGAGGGTCCCAGCCAGAGCCCCGGCCCCCGGCCCCGCCCGCGCCTGCTGGGCGCCCCCTGGTGGCCTCGGCTGGGCCCTGCCGCTGCGCCCACGGCCCTCGTGGGAGGCCCCTCCCTACCCCGGCCGCCCTCGGGCCCCCACGGTCTACTACCCCATGGGGACCGGCATGTCAAGCCCCTGCGTGGGCGCCTGCGCCACCCCCCCGCCCTCCGCACTCGCCCCCTTGTCCCAGCCCCGCGTCCTGGGGAGGAGGCTTGGGCCGCAGCCCAGCACCCAGAAGTGCAACGCGCACGGGTGGGGCCAGGCTCGAGTCAGCCGGTGACGCAGCCTCTGTGTGACCAGGGCGGATGGCCCGACCTCTCTGAGCCCCCGTTTCCCCGCCTGTAAAAGGGGGTGGGGCTGCCTCCCAGCGCCGCTGCGAGGCGTGAGTGAGTTACGACTCAGAACGCCCAGGTCCGAGGTGAGCACACGCGACACCCGCGAGCCACGGCCACGCGTGTCCCCAGGGCGCCTCCCGCCACGGGCTGGCCAGGAGTGTCCGCGCTGTGGGGATACGAAGGGGCGCGGCCCCAGCGCTGCGGGGCCCGCAGGGAGGGCGCAGGGGCCGAGCATCCGCCCCGGGGCATCCACCCATCAGGCCTCGCCGTAAACTTCCTCCTAACAGCCGCTCCTGCAGCCGGAAGATATTGACTCGAAGGAGAAACAATGGCAGGAATAAAATAAAAATAAAAAAGTTAATTATCCTTTGTGTTTGTAATTTAATTAAAGATGCAGTAAAGTTTTACTGTTTTTCCAGGTGATGATGTTTAGAGCCCCGAGAAGCTATTTGTGCTGGTGAGATTAAAGTGCATTTTAAAATGTTCCTCCAGTACTTTCACATTTGTTGATAGATTTTTAAATTAAACTTTAAATTGTAATCTAAATTACCTCCAACAATTCATGGTCCCTGTAATGAACTCCCACCGTTCCCGCTGTCATCCGTCGATGATGGAGTGCGAGCCGGGAGCTGCAGCCCCGCGGCCGCCGAACCAACCGCGGAGGCCAGGCAGCCTCGCCCCAGGGACCCCGCCCACGGCGCCCTACACCGGCGGCCAGTCAGGGAGGCCAACGCCGCGAGACGGAAGCAGCCATACCCCGCGGGCCACCAGTGTGGCCAGAAAAGATCTGCAGGGATGTGAGGGCAGCTCAGAGCTGAGATCTAAGGCTGGGGCAGAACCGGACGGCGCAACAAGCTAGGGAGAAAGCATCCCCGGCGCGGGGTGCACGGAGCCCCAGACCCCACCCGCCTCCCGCCCGGACCCCGCCTCCACTCAGGGAGCCGGGCCCCACCTCCCGCCCTAGGCCCCGCCTCCTACCTCGGGCCCCACCTCCCGCCTAGGCCCTGCCTCCTGCCCAGGCCCTGCCCCCAACTCAGGGCCCCGCCTCCCGCCCAGGCCACGCCTCCCACTGAGGACCCTGCCTCCCGCTCAGGGACCCGCCTCCTGCCCGAGCCCTCCCTCCCTCCCAGGTCCTGCCTCCCGTCCAGGTCCCCGCCTCCCACTCAAGGCCCCGCCTCCCACCCAGGCCCCGCCTCCCACTCAAGGCCCCGCCTCCCACCCAGGTCCCCCCCTCTAACCTGGGCCACGGCTCCCACTCAGGGCCCCGCCTCCCACCCAGGCACCGCCTCTCACCCAGGCCCCGCCTCCACTCAGGGCCCCGCCTCCCACCCAGGCCCCCCCTCTAACCTGGGCCACGGCTCCCACTCAGGGCCCCGCCTCCCACCCAGGCACCGCCTCTCACCCAGGCCCCGCCTCCACTCAGGGCCCCGCCTCCCACCCAGGCCCCCCCTCTAACCTGGGCCACGGCTCCCACTCAGGGCCCCGCCTCCCACCCAGGCACCGCCTCTCACCCAGGCCCCGCCTCCACTCAGGGCCCCGCCTCCCACCCAGGCCCCCCCTCTAACCTGGGCCACGGCTCCCACTCAGGGCCCCGCCTCCCACCCAGGCACCGCCTCTCACCCAGGTCCCGCCTCCACTCAGGGCCCCGCTTCCCACTCAGAGCCCCACCTCTGCTCAGGGCCCCGCCTGCGGCCCAGGCCCCGCCCCTCACCCTGGCCTCGCCTCCTGTGGTCTTGCATGCCACAGTTGCTCAGACCAGACTTTCATCATAATGTCCCCTCCCTTACAGAAGTAGAAGTTAAAGACAAAACCAATTTTGAGTTTCCAATTTTCTCCAAATGTTCTAGAAATCGGTCATTTTCTTAAATATTTAACTGTTACCTGAATTTTCTCTTCCTCGTGGTCCTGCATATCTGGAATATTACTGGCAAAACCCAATTAGACTTTTAAGACATGTATGTGTTTCTAAGCAGGCCAAATATCTTTTTTTGTTTTGTTTTGTTTTTAAGACAGAGCTTTGCTCTTGTCGCCCAGGCTGGAGTGCAATGGGGCAGTCTTGGCTCACTGCGACCTCTGCCTCTGGGTTCAAGCAATTCTCCTGCCCAGGCTCCCAAGTAACTGGGATTACAGGCACCCGCCACCATACCCAGCTAATTTTTATATTTTTAGTAGAGACAGGGTTTCTCCATGTTGCCCTGGCTGGTCTCGAACTCCTGACCTCAGGTGATCTGCCCTCCTCATCCTCCCAAAGTGCTGGGATTACAGGCTTGAGCCACCATGCCCAGCATTTTTTTTTTTTGATATAGGGTCTTGCTCTGTCATCTGGGTGTGAGTGCAGTGGTGTGATCACAGCTCACTGCAGCCTCCTCCAACTCCTGAGCTCAAGTGATCCTCCTGCCTTGGCCTCCCAAAGTGCTGGGATTACAGGTGTGAGCCATCACTCCCCACCCAAAATTTCTTTACATCAGCCACACAGAGCTCCTTGACTACTTGAAGGCAGCACATGGCAAACAGCCGAACCTTGTCAGCAATCCAAGAAATGAGCTTTAGGACAGCAAGGAGACGCCATTCTCATGTCACGTTTCAGCGTTTACTACTGATATGATAAGAAGGGTCCCTGCCGTGGGGGCAGTGTGGCAGGGCAGATGCTCTGTGACCTATACTCCAGCCAGGCCACGGCCATCAGGGCATGCTGCCTAGCAGGGCTGGACAGAGTCCACGGCGTTCCTCCTGGACCCAGCTGAACGACACTCCCCTCCCTGCCACGGACGTCACCACCACCCCGCGGGGAAAGACCAGAAGGGCAGGGAGTGAGCCAGTGCCATGTATGCCACCTACA
The DNA here is from genome assembly GCF_000001405.40 of Homo sapiens. NCBI lineage: Eukaryota > Metazoa > Chordata > Mammalia > Primates > Hominidae > Homo > Homo sapiens. Next base: position 157,346 of record NW_021159990.1, read on the forward strand.
CAGACCCAAGAGAGAGTGGACGGGAGGCCCTGCACCCTGCACCCAGGCTGGGAAGACCAGGAGGAGGCTGGCGGCCCTGGCTGAGACCCCATTTGGAGGCTGACCTTGGCCTCAGAGAGCCACCCAGCCCGAGATCAGTCCTCTCCCGCCTGCGATCTCAGCACTTTGGGAGGCCGAGGCGGGAGGAGCTCTTGAGCCCAGGAGTTCAAGACCAGCCTGGGCAAAATGGTGAGACCCCATCTCTACAAAAACAAAAATTAGCCAGGTGTGTGGTGGCGCACATCTGTAGTCCTAGCTACTAGAGAGGGTGAGACAGGAGGATCACTGGAGCCCAGGAGGTCGAGTCTGCCATGAACTATGTTCCCCACTGCACTCCAACATGGGCAACAGAGTGAGACCCTGTCTCAACTAAAGCAAAACAAAAAATAGCTACATATATAGGCAGGATCCAGAGAAAAACCTTGGGATTGGATTTCTAGGTCCCAGATGAAGGGATCAGCCTGGATGAGCAAGAATGCATTGATTTGACGACTCTTTCTTGGTCATGAGAATTAACATCCTGTCAAGAACCTGGGTGATAGGGCAAACTCACTGCTAGTTGGCTCTTAGGAGCCTAAACAAAGTGATAGTTAACTCTCAGTGAAATGGCAATGTCCAGTTGTCCTGGGAGATGGCAAAGGGAGATGGGTGTGCTGGGTGAACACACTGTGGGTGCCAGAGACCCAGCAAAATCATGTTCTCTGGGAGGGCCAGAGGCTGTCGAGAGTGCACTGGGGAGGGGACCAGCACCAAGAGGAGGTGGGCGGAGTGTCCTCTGCAGGCAGGGTACAGTTAGAGATGGGAGAAAAGCAAAGGAAGCGGGGTCCCAGGTCTGCCCCATGAAGAAGAGCGGGACCAGCAGGAGGCAAGGTGGCCACATCTTAGACCCAGCACAGGCCTAAGGCCAAAGTCACTGGTCAGAGGAGTCTCGTGTCTCCCTTGGGGAACGAGCCATTCACTGGCTTCCCTGTGCTTGATCTGTGCTCCCAGGAGGACAATAATCTCTGGTCTGTGCCAGCAGGGATCAAGCACTTTGCATGATCACCTCATGTGCTTCTCACACGTCTCATGTGCAGCTCCGGTTACAAGGCACAGCAAGTGTGCACAACCCTCCCAGTCCTGCAGCTCCCAGCAGCTCAGGTGGAGCCATCCTGGCCTTTGTGCTCCTGACCCTGCTGCTGTGCTCCGCCTGATACCTGTCCCTCCTCCCGGGGCTTGTGCGAGGATTGAAGCGTTAGTGTCGTTCTTGCCGGCTCATGGGTGGGCACCTGCCTGCTTTCACCACCTGCCGCCAGCTTGCTTTCCAGGAGACGTCCTCTCCAGCCAGAGGTTCTCCTTGGCCCACATCCTTGTCAATCCTGGGAACTATACAATTATCTAATTTTTGCCTCTCTGATGGGTGCAGAGTTTATCTCACTGCTGTTTCCATTTGCGTCTTTCTGATCACTGGAGAAGCTGAACAACCACTCCTTGTCTATCATCAGCCATTCAGGTTCTCTCTGAGAATCTCCTGTTCGTGTCTCTGCCCCTTTTTCTTTTGGAGGCCTTGTCTTCTTCAAGGTGATTGATGGCTGTTTCCTGTGTATTCTATCAATCCCTTGTGGGTTTCAGATGTTGCGATATCATCTATTCCTCTGTCGTCCATTCATTAACATGGCCTATCGAATTCTTTGTCAAACAGAATCCTTCATTTTGATATATTCAAATCCATCCATTTTTCATCTTATGATTTGTTCTTTTGGAGTCTTGCTTAAGAAATATTTTCCTATCCAAGGTCACAAAGAAATTCCACAGCATTTTCTCCTATGAGCCTACAGCTTTACCGTTTACATTTAGGTCCTGAATCTCTTATGTTTAGGTTTCTCTTTGTATATGGTATGAGGTAGGGATCCTGCCTTCCATTTTCCATAAAGTGAGGCAATTTTCCCAACATTATATGTTGCAGTTACTATTTCTGCATAACAAATTATTCTACAACCTTGCATCTTAAAACAAGTATCTTAATTTGCTCACATTTTTGAGCATGAGTAACTTGGGAAAGGTTCAGCAAGGGCAGCTCTTATTTGGGAAGAGAGAAAGTGGCATGTGGCTGCACCTGGATGTCAGCTGGGGCTAGAGCCACCTGGGCTGGATGTCCCCATTGGCCACTCCCGTGGCTGGCAATGGAGGCTGGCTGTCAGCTGGGAGCTTGGCTGGGCTGTCAACACAAATGCTTACATGTGGCCCCTCCAGCATGGCGGTCTTGAGACAGTCAGACTTTTTACTCTGTGCCTGGCTGCCCCTATGGCAAGTGTCCCAAGAGGACAGGCAGAGGCTGCATGGCCTTCTCTGACCTAGCCTCGAAAGTCATGCAGTGTCATTTGCATTGCATTCTGTTGGTTACATGTAAGTCACAAGGGCCAATCCAGAGTTAAGGAGAGGAGACAGACTTCACCTTTCAGTGGGAGGAATGTCATGGTATTTGCAGACTTGTTTTTTTAATTAATTAATTTTTTAACTGACTAAAATTATATATGTTTACTATGTACAAGATGATGTTTTGAAATATGCATACATTGTGGAATGGCTAAATTTAGCTAAGTAACAAATTTAGCTAAATAACCTCATATGCTTATCATTTTTTGTAGTGAGAACACAAAATCTACTCTCAATGACTTTCAACAACACAATATATGATTAATTATAGTCACACGTTGTACAGTAGATCTCTTGAACTTACTCTTCCAATCTATTAATAACTGAAATTTTGTACCTTTTGACTAATAATGTCTCTACTCTCTCTCTCTCTCTCTTTTTTTTTTTTTTTTTTTTTTTGGAGACAGAGTCTTGCTCTGTCACTCAGGCTGGATGGAGTACAGTAGCACAATCTTGGCTCACTGCAACCTCTGCCTCCCAGGTTCAAGCAATTCTCCTGCCTCAGTCTCCTCAGTAGCTGGGATTACAGGCGCATGCCACCACACCCAGCTAATTTTTGTTTTAGTAGGGACGGGGTTTCACCACATTGGCCAGGCTGATCTCGAACTCCTGGCCTCAAATGATCTGCCTGCCTCGGCCTCCCAAAGTGCTGAGATTACAGGTGTGAGCCACTGCACCCGGCCCAATGTCTCTACCCTCTACATCTCAGTTCAACTTCTTTAGAGTCCACACATGAGTGGATCACGCAGTATTTGTCTTTCTGTGCCTAGCTTATTTTGCTGAACATAAGGTCCTCCATGTTCATCCACATTGTCAATAACAGGATTTCCTTCTCTTTGTTTCTGAGACAGGGTCTCACTCTGTCACCCAGGCTAGAGTGCAGTAGCAATCTTGGCTTACTGCAGCCTTGACTTCCCAGGCTCAGGTGATCCTCCCACCTTGGCCTCCCAAGTAGCTGGGACTACAGGAATGCGCCACCACACCTGGCTAATTTGTGTGTGTGTGTGTGTATTTTTAGTACAGACAGGGTTTCACCATGTTGCTTGGGCTGGCTTTGAACTCCTGGGATCAAGCAATCCTCCCGCCTCAGCCTCCCAAAGTGCTGGGATTATAGGCATGAGCCACCTCACCCAGCTTCCTTCTTTTTAAAGGCTGAGTAGTACTCAATTGTGTATATAGACCACATTTCCTTTATTCATCTGTCAATGGATACTTAGATTGATTCCATGTCTTGGCTGTTACAAATAGTACTATCATGAACATGGGCGTGCAGGTCTCTCTTGGTGAGACTGATTTTTTTTTTATTTTTTGAGACAGAGTTTCCCTCTTGTTGCCCAGGCTGGAGTGCAGTGGCGCGATCTCGGCTCACCACAATCTCTGCCTCCTGGGTTCAAGCGATTCTCCTGACTCAGCCTCCCGAGTATCTAGGAGTACAGGCATGCACCACCATGCCCAGCTAATTTTTTGTATTTTTAGTAGAGACGGGGTTTCATCATGTTGGCCAGGCTGGTCTCAAACTCCTGACCTCAGGTGGTCCACCCCCCCAGCCATGAAGCTGATTTTATTTTCTTTCAATATATTCTCAGAAGTTGAGGCCAGGCGCGGTGGCTCACACCTGTAATCCCAGCACTTTGGGGGTCCGAGGCGGGCGGATCACGAGGTCAGAAGATCGAGACCATCCTGGCTAACACGGTGAAACCCTGTCTCTACTAAAAAAATATATATATAAAAAATTAGCCAGGTGTGGTGGCGGGCGCCTGTAGTCCCAGCTACTCGGGAGGCTGAGGCAGGAGAATGGTGTGAACCTGGGAGGCAGAGCTTTCAGTGAGCCAAGATCGCGCCACTGCACTCCAGCCTGGGCAACAGAGCGAGACTCCGTCTCAAAAAAAAAAAAAAAAGAAGAAGAAGTTGAATTGCTGAATCATGTGGTGGTCTATTCTTAATTTTTTGAAGCACCTCTGTACTCTTTTCCACTTTTCTCCACATCCTCACCAACACTTGTTATCTTTCATCTTTTTGATAGTAGCTGTTCTAAAAGGTGTCGGGTGATATCTCACTGGGATTTTGATTTTGATTTCCCTGACTGTTCATGACACTGGGTGACTTTTTACAACCCGTTGGCCATTTGTGTGTCTTCTTTTGAGAAATGTCTACTTAGGTCCTTTGCCAATTTTTCAATCAGGTTATTTGTTTTCCTGCTATTGGGTTGTTTGAGTTCCTAGTATATTTTCGATATGAACCCCTCATCAGATGGGCAGTTTATAACCATTTTCTCCCATTCCACTGGTTGTCTCTTCACTCTGCTGATTGTTTCCTTTACTGTGCAAAAACTTTTTAGTGTGACATACTTCCAATTATCTATTTTCTCTTTTGTTGCCTGTGCTTTTGGGGTCATATCCAAAAAATCATTACCCAGACCAATGTCATGAAGCTTTTCCCAAACCTGTTGCTTAAAAACAGTAGGCATTTTTAAAACCTCTTCCCTTTCTGGCCGGGCACAGTGGTTTACGTCTGTAATCCCAGCACTTTGAAAGGCCGAGGCAGGCAGATCATTTGAGGCCAGGAGTTCAAGATCAGCCCGACCAACATGGTGAAACCCCATCTCTACTAGAAATACAAAAATTAGCTAGGCGTGGTGGTGCATGCCTGTAATCCCAGCTACTCAGGAGGCTGAGGAAGGAGAATCGCTTGAACCCAGGAGGCAGAAGTTGCAGTGAGCTGAGATTGCGCCACTGCACTCCAGCCTAGGTGACAGAGCGAGACTCTGCCTCGAAAATAAAAAAACCTCCTCCCTTTCCAAAGACATATTATATCACCCTGTGACATCAAGCTGCCACAAAAACATGGATTTATCAGGGGGAATCTGTCTTCAGTTTTATTATTTATTTGTTCCAGTGCCATTGGCGTACTGTTTTTATGTCTTTGTAGCATGTTTTAATACATTTTATAACCGTAGGCAATTTTAATAAATTTTAAATGATTGTATTTTAATTTATATTTAATATTTTAATAAATGTAGGGTAATTCCCCCTCCCTTTGCTCTTTTTCGAAGACTAAGATGTCCTTGTATCTTCATTTTTCAATGTACATTTTAAAATTAGTTTATTACACTTCTCAAAAATCTTTCATTTGAATTATATTTAATTTACAGATTAATTCAGGGAATACTAGCATCCTTAATGCTAAGTCAGCCATCGGCGGCTGTGATGCAGCTCTGCTTTCATGCCCGCCTTTTCAGCAGACTGGGATTTTCCCATTCTCCAAATAGGGTCTGGTGCGTCCTTCCTCAGGTGAATTCCTAGGTCCTCAATTGTTTCAACACTGTTGTGGTGGTTCCCCATTTGCAGTTTCTGTTTTCCCTCAGAACACTAGTGATGTTTGTAAGATAATTGTGGTGGTTTACAAATATGCTCCCAGATTCTTCAGTGCCCTTCCCTTCAAGAGGTGGAGCTTAATTCCACTCGCTTTGAGTGTGGGCTGTGCTTAGTGATCTCTTCTTATGAACAGAATGTGGCAGAAATGATGGTGCGTGACTGCCGAGAACTGGACATCAAAGGCCCTGTGGTGCCCTCCTTACTTGCTGGCTTCCAGGTCACTTGCTGGGGGTGGGGGCACCTGCTGTGTCATGAGGACATCCAAGTACGGGCAGGTCCACATGGTCAGGAAAGAACCTTCCACCAATGCCAGTAAGGAGATGAGGTCTTCTATGAGTGAAGCTATCCTCAAGACGAATTCTCCAGCCCAGGCAAGCCTTCAGGTGACTTCAGCTCCAGCCAGCACTTCAATCTCAGCTTCCTGAGAGACCCTGAGCCAGAACCACCCAACTTAGCTGCTCCCAAGTGCCTGCTCCCATGCTTTGAAAAAATAAATGTTTATTGTTCTGAGCTGCTAAACTTGAGAGTAATTTATTATGCATAAATGGACAATGATACAATGATCTTGTATCAGTCAGCTTTGCTAAATCGTTTTATAAGTTCTATTGATGTATCTGCAGATTCTGTTGGGCTTTGTGTGTAGGTAATCACATCATCTGCATATGATGGCAGTGTGTTCCTCCCTTTCCAATCCAGTACTTCCTATGCATTTTTCTTATCTTATTCTATTCATCCTGGTGACGAATTTGAGAAATAGACATGATATTCCTTTATCTCGTACTCGCTTCTATGGGAGATGCTGTGTAAAGTTTTTCTAATAAATAGTGATGTTGCTGTCAGTCTTTAAATAGGTAGCTTTTGATCAAGTTAAGAAAATGTTCTGTCCATTACTAGTTTTCTGAGAGTTTAAACAATAAATAGAGATCCAGTGCTATCAAATCCTTTTTTAATCTGTACAGATAATCATGCAATTCTTCCCCTCTAGTCCATTCACGAGGTAAATCATGTCAATAGATTTTTCTGATGTTGAACCATCTTTGCATTCCTGAAATAAACCTATTTGATAATGATTTTTAGAAACATACACTTGGGGTTGGTTGGTTATATTTTATTTATAATTTTTTTATTGAAAGGCCTTACAATTGTCTTTTCTGATTTTGGAATAAGAGTGTTGCTTGCCCATAAAATGAGGTGCAGGACATTTCTTTTTTTTCTGTTCTCTGGAAGAGTTTGCATGAGAAATAATTTCTCTTTCTTGAAGATTTTTAGTGGGGAATTATTTGTTTTCCATTTCAATTTCTTTCTTTTTCTCATTTCAATTTTCAATAGCTAATGGATATTAGTCTTTTACATTTTCTGTTTACTGTGGTGTCAATTTGGCACTTTATATTTTTACAGAAATGTATTCGTTTTATTTGGGCTTTCTGAATATATTAGTGTATAGTCATTCATAATTTTCCCTTCATTATTTTTGCCATTATTTTCCATTTTTATTCTATATTTACTTTGCTTCTTCTCTCCTTTGTCATCAGTATTGCCTGTCTTATTATATTTACAAGGTCCAGTTTTAACTTTGAAAATCTTCTCTGACTTTTTAATGTTAAAAATGTTTTCTATTTCACTGATTTCTGCTTTTTCTTTATTTACATCTTGTTTCCTTAGCTATATCTTTAGTTCTTTTTCTAGCCTATTGAGTTAAATGCTTTGCTCATTTATTTTTGACTTTTGTTTGTATTCTGATAAGTTTATTCAAAATCATAATTTTTTTTCTCTAGGTACTGCTTTGGGTATGTCTCACAGCTCCTGACACACAGAGCTTTAAATGTTGTATAATTTCTTTATGATTTTTCCCTTAACCAGGGGTATTCAGTACTTATGATTTTTCTTCCCAGATATCTGGACTTTCCTTTTTTTTACAATTCTTTTATTTATTGTATTGCATTATAGTGAAAGGATACAGTCTTTATTATGCCAATTCTTTGAAATTTATCACATTTTCTTTTGTGGCTGAAATAAGCAGCCCGACTCCATTTTTTGATGTCTGGCTGCCAACAGCTTTTAAGTGTCCCTCCCTTTTCTCCTGTGCCCCACATCTGGACAAGCTGATAAGAAAGCCCGGGTGCTCCCTCATTTGATGCTGGTGGGGAATTCAAACCACAGAAGGCCCTGCCTGCACATGAAAACTCTCACCCAGGTCCAGCCCTGAACCACAATAAAAACCTTTCCATTCCTTGCTCTCTCAAGCCATTCTTGACCTGCTTGGGAGGCGTGCCCTGCTCTCCTCAGAGACCTCAGTTATGCAAACAATCCAAACCATTTCAAGCCCTGTTGGTGTGTATGTGTGAAGCCATCCGTTCCCAATATTTGAAACAAATTTTGGGTAGGTTGCCTCTGAAGGTGACCATACAGTAGCCTAGCACATGGCCTGTTTTTGTGAATAATAAGTGTGCACAAAAGAAATCTGTATTCTCCATGAGATGTGTAAACTGATAGATAATAGAGGTAATTCAATTAATTTATTATGCCATTCAAATTAAATAGACTTACTTTTGTATATTTAATCTATTGTTTTATAAGAGGAATTTGTCGAAAATTCTAAATAACACAGTTTAGTCATATATTTCTCCTGGTAATATTCTCAGTTGTAGTTTTATATGTTCTAAGACTATATTATTTAATGCATATATATATATATATATATATATATATATATATATATATATATATAATCATTCTATGTTCTTGGTCTGTTGTTCTTTTGAACTAGTCCCTAATATTCTTCTTTGTCTTTTGTGATTTTTTGGCCTTATTTCTATTTTGTCTGACATTAGAATTGCTATCCCACATTGCTTTGGGTGTACATATTTGCCTGGTGTATCTCTTTTCCATCCCTTGATTTTCAATCTTTCTGTGCCCTTTCTCCTTTAAAATGTGTCTTCTCTAAGGAGCATACAGCAGCAGTTTGTTTTTCGTTCAACCTGTGAGTCTCTACTTTCAGATCATTGAGTCTAACTCATTTACATTTATTGTACTCACTGTTGCATTAGGGTTTATTTCTGCAGGCTGGCCCCCCTCTGGACACACTGTGGACTCTGCACTCCGGGACCTGTGATGCACCTAAAGAAGCCAGCCACCCCTGTACTTGCCAGGAATGAAGGAGAGAGAATGCGCATGCACATGTACCCCATGACATTCCTACAGAGAGTGTTGGCCATGGCATGGTAAGCTCTGCCAGGATGGGGTGGCAGTCAGTCTTGTTTCCCACAGCAACTGCAACACCCCACACAAGGCCCACCTGCACATCAAATACCCTAGTTCATGTTATTGTGAGTGGACAAAGGAATAGGTAGGTCCTGGTTCCTTCTGAGCACATGGTCTGGCCTGAGGCCCTACCCTACTTTCAGCTCCTTCTGGGTGTGAGTTTGGGATCCATCCAGGGGCCTGGGAGTCCCTGGAGGGAAAGCATGACCCAGAGAGGGATCTTAGCAGCAGAAGGAAACCCAGAGACCCTGAGCTGAGGGACTCCCCAGAGGGCCGCAGGAGGTCACCCTCCAGGGCTCCTCCTTCCTTTACAAATTGGGAAGCTCCACCCCGAAGGCCAGCTGCCCACCCCTTTCTGGCTGCTGACACAAGTTTTGGGGGCCTCCTTCTTGGGTGCAGGGTAGAAAGAGAAGACTTTAAATACAGTGAAACGGGAGAGTGGATATTTAAGCCCAAAGCAGTCGGTCACCCCAGACCACAGGCTGAGCCCAGCACCATACGGCTGGATGATAAATGGATGCTATTTTTAAAGAGAGACGCTGCTAAGATCGTTTCTATTTGTTCTGTGGGGTTTGTCGGGCCGCTGTGCCTACGTGTTAATGCAGCTCTCTGAGGAAGATAAACTGGAGAGGCTGAGCTCTGAACCCACCTGATACCATCAAACACCCCAGGGAAAAAAAAATGCCACGTAATAATCTCGTGAAGGTTTTCTAAATTAAGACCAAACAGATGACCGGCTGTGCACGGCGCGTACCAGCCACGTCCACACGCGGCCCCATCAGTCTCCGTGGGCGGAGCGAGGGCTCCGGGAGGCAGCGTCAGAGCGCGCAGGCCTGGAGGGCGCGAGGCCGAGACCACACAGATTACCCCCAAAGTCCCGGAGGGGCAGGGCCCAAGCCCAGGATTCCTGAGCAAGGCCGAGGGGGCCAGGGGGCAGGATCCCGGAGGCTGGGGGGCGCTGCGGTCCTTCCTGGGGGAAAACAGGGGCAGGAGAGGGGCCCTAGGGCTCCCGGGCGCCGGCCACACCCAGGGGCCCCCGACACGCGGTTCTGCACCCCCTGCCCAGCCCCTCTCCTGGGCCAAGCCAGGGTGAGCCCAGGGCCGTGACACTGGAGAGCCTGGAAGCCTGGGGATGGGAGGGCAGGATCTTCACAGCATGGAAGGAAGGAGGTGATTGAGGCCTGGGTGGAAGGAGCAGGAGGGAACAGAGTTCGCCGCAGAGCCCAGGCAGCCCCTGCCATCGCTGCCCACAGGGAGGAGAGGCGGCCGCGGGGGCGCCTGAGTGGGCGCCGGGCACCACGTCCCACCCGCACACGCCTGGAGCCCCCCAGACACGGGCCCCGCAGGAGGGGCGTCTGCAGGGCACATGGCCGAGGTCCTGGCTGCGGGGCCCGGGGCCGCTCACACCCTGCCCGGCTAGCCTATGGCAACGGAACCGGCCCTGATTCGGGCAGCTGCTGCCCCATCCCAGCCCAGCTGGGTCACTTTCTCCCCAGTGCCCAGGGCCGAGGGCCCATGCGGAGCACGAGCGGGCGCAGCAGAGGGTCGGGCTTTCTCCGCCGGCGGGGACACAGGCGTCCTGTGCGGGAGCCGGTGGCGGCCAGAGAGGCACCAGGTCCTGGGTCGGGGGCCGGGGGCATCTGAGCCTTCCCGACACCGGCCTCGCGGGTCCAGGGCTTGGCCCAGGCGCCTGGTCTGCAACCCAGACGTTTGGAGTCAGCAGAGGCACCCACGTCCCCGCGCGCCCGCAGGAGGGAAGCCGGCGCGGCAGGTGCGCTCAGCCCAGGCCAGGGGAGGCTGGACCGCGGCCCGGAGCCACGCCAGGGCCCCTCCGAGTAGGGTGAGCTCAGGCCCAGGGCCGCCCCTGACAGTCGCCCCGCGCCCCACGCCCCAACCCGGCTCCCCCCTCGGTAGATCAATAGCTTTGGAAATCTGAAAAGAGCCCAAACAAAGAAGTGGGCTTGTAAGTATCCAGCTTGTATCAGCTGATAAATGGTCCCCTCTTTAAGGGACTTATCTCTTTAGGGCTTGCGGGATGAGGGATGGCGTCATTTGTCCTGGACGCTCGTCTGGACCAGCCAGGCCGGATCTATTTAAAAGATAGCGCGATACTGTCGACAGCAATAGACAGGGTAATTGCAGAGCGGCTGCCGGGGTATAAATTACACGGCTCTAAGTGGTGGAGTGGCCGCGGGAGACTGGAGAAATTCCTGACAATTCACTTGTCCCTCTGCCCTGCCGCCAGCTTATCACGGGCCAGCAGAAGACGCGCGCTCGGGTGAAAAAATTAAGTATTGATCAAATTAACAGTTTTTACTGATCTTTTTAAGGGAGAAAAGGAGTGCAACAATTAAATTTAGAACACAAAGGACGGGGCAGGGTAACTCTTGACCCTGCGTGGCAAAGTCTGTGACACCAACAAGCACGAAATACGGTCTAGGGCAGGGCGGCGTTGCGGAAGGCCGACCCGAGGGAGAGCAGGGGCCGCTGGGGGCAGCTCCCGGGGCCAAGGGTGAGCAGAGACCGCTGCAGGGAGGGGCGCCGCGGGCCCCAGGTCCCCCCAGGCTGCCAGCAGGGCAGCCAAGCCGGAGCCTCCTCTGCGAGGTCCCTGAGCCGCTTCTGGGCAGATTCCCTCCTTCCCTTGGGAGCCAGCAGCGGCCCCGCCTCCAGCGGCCCCACATAGCAGGAGGCAGGACGGACAGATAAACCGATTCACAGGTCACCAGGTCAGGGCTCAGCCTGGAAGACTTCCTGGAGGTGGAAGAAGGGGAGGGACCCAGCACCTGCCCCAGCCTGTGTCCCCTTCTCCTTGTGGGGGGACCCTGGGCAGGATCTAACAATCCCCAGCCTCAGTTTCCCCTCATGAAAAAAGGATGATAGAGGCACTGCCCCCCGGGGTATACAAGCAGGCACAAAAGGCACCCCCCACGGTGGGGGTATTACTGTCATCATGATTATTTTGGGTTCTCTTCTCTATCTTCTTTTCAAAAATCTGGTAATGTGGATCTATGCTTTAATAGTTTTAGGCCAGGTGCAGTGGCTTACGCCTGTAATCCCAGCACTTTGGGAGACCAAGGCAGGCAGATTGCTTGGGGTTGGGAGTTGGAGAACAGCCTGGGCAACATAGGGAGACTCCATTTCTGCAAAAATGCAAAAGTTAGCCGGGTGTGGTGGCTCCACACATGTAGTCCCAGCTACTCAGGAGGCTGAGACAGGAGGATCACTTGAGTGTAGGAGTTGGAGGCTGCAGTGAGCCGTGATGGTGCCACTGCACTTCAGCCTGGGCAACAGAGCAAGACCCTGTCTCTTAAAAAAAAATGTGTAAGGTGCTTAAGTTTTACAAAGTTCACATTGCCTTCATAATATACATTGCCGCCAGGAAGGAGCTCTCGGGTGTGGAGGGGGAAGTCTGTTCCTTCTGCAGACTGCCGGCCCCAGGCAAAGCCGTGCACAGGCCCACTGGGCCATCTGCCACCCCATCCCCCCACAGGATGGAGACACAGCTTGCTCATCGGGGACCAACCAAAGCACCATGGGACCCAGCCAGTGCCAGCATGCCAGGGACGGGGAGGCACAGATTCCAGCTCCCACAGGAGTCAGAGGACAGGGAAGCCGCAGCCACTGAAAGGACAGAAACGCACAACTGGTCCCTCTGCCCACAGGGACCCCCGCCCACCTCCAGGCTCTGGACGGCCACAGGGCCCCAGCAGCAGGGGTGCAAGAAGGCGGGCAGCAGGAGCCCCACCGGCTCCTCTTTGTACAGACGCTGCCATGGTCCTGCGTGGCCATTGGACAGTGGCCAGGACAGGCTCCCCACATCCTGGCGCCCTGCTGACCCTCCCAGGCTTTTGTCTATTGAAGGCTGAGAAGGGGCATGCAGAGGCTGGGGGTCCACCACAGGCCGGGGACAGCAGGGCTGCCCCACCCCTAGGCTTGGTGGTGCTGGGCACATCAGAAACCACTGACACTACGTGGCTGGTGGGGTGGGGCTGGGGTTGGTGGGAGCCCTGGGAAGTCACCACTGGTATAAATCGTGGCACAGACGGCAGACAAAAAAACAGCACCAAGCAGCCCTTGTCCTGTGCACAGACCCCTCCTGACACTGCAAAGCCTGGCAGGACACTTGGAGCTTACCCAGCACCGCGGGAAGCGCCAGCACACAGCTCCCAGGAGCCAGGCCCGGTCCCCAGTCCAGCCGGGCAGAGAGGAAGCAGCAGAATTGCAACTCAGTCCAGGCACCAGCTCTGATGTGTTGAGAGGCCTCAGGTAGGCCCATCTGTGGTCTACTGGGGCCCTTTGTCTCTTCCTCTCTTGTGCTGTCAGAGGAGAGTCCCACCCCAGAGGCCAGTCTGATCCTCTCTGTGGTGCAGGTGCTCAGTGATGGTCCACAGGACCGGGTGTGACCCCTGGTCACTGTCTGCCCAAGGCACGGCTGAGCTCAATGGGGACCAGCACCACCATCTTGAGACGTGGGGCCACAAGAGTGGCCGTCCAGCCTCTGCTGCCTCTCCCTGCTGATGTGGCCCATGAGGGTCCCTGCTCCTGCGCTGGGCAAAAAGTGCACACAGAGACAGAGGGACGAGGGGAGGGTTGGCTCCAAGGCCACTACCAGGCCACACCCACAGAATCACCAGGCCACCTCCAGGGACCATGCATGGTCTGGTGGGGGCTGAGTTCTGACTCACATCCTCGCAGCACAGGGCCAGGCTGAGGGACGCTGGGCTGGCAGGTCCCCTCTACATAATTCCATGCTGTCCGGATTTTTTATTATAGCCACGTATTGTTTTCAATTAAACTTTTTACTTTGAGAAAATTGTAGTTTCACATACAGTTATGAGAAACAACACAAAGAGATCCAGTGCGCCCCCACCCACCTTCCCCAAAGGTACCCTCTTGCCAAGCTGTGGCCAGTGTCACCGCCCAACGCTGGCTACACCGTCCAGATGTGGGCGCTGTTCCCACCTCAAGGACCCTCCTGGCCCTCCACTGCCCACCACACCACCCGAACCGGACACCACTCATCTGCCCTCCATTTCCACAGCTGTGTCACTGCAGGCATGCCCTCTACAGGGACCAGATGGAAGGGCACCTTCAGGGACTGGCTCTTTCACTCACACGGTGTCCGCCCGCCGCGGGCTGCTGTGGCCTCCACCGAGGCCGTGCCACACGGTACATGCGGGTTGCTTCCAGATTCCCAACTGTACTTCTCCCATGAAACTTCCTTTAAAAGGGGGAAAGACAGAGAGAGAGAGAGACAGAGACAGAGACAAGGGGAGAGACAGAGACAAGGGGAGAGACAGAGATGGGGAAGAGACAGAGACGGAGTGGGGAGAGACAGAGACAGTGGGAGAGAGAGACAGAGGGAGAAACGGAGGAGAGGGAGACAGCCCCTGGCAGGTGGGAAAGGCCCCCGGGGGCTCGCCCTGGGCAGCTCCGCACCCTCCTCGGGGCCTCCCTCCAGCATCGCATCTCCCCTACTTCAACGTCCAGGCCACCAAGGCTCCGAGAGGGGACAGGCAGCTCCTCTGGCATCTCTGGATCCAGTGGGGCAGGGCCTTCTTTTCCCTCACTGGGACTCCAGCCTCTTCCCACAGGCCTGGGCTCCCCAGACACCAAGGGCATCTGGAGAACACAGACACCGGGCACCCCTGGGCTCCAGCCAGACATCGGCAGGGCCCTCAGCCGCCTGGCTCTCTATCAGGGGTCCCCCTCGAGGGTCCCCTCACTCCCCTGCCTCTGCTCCTCCCCCCACCACTGCCCATCCTAAACTCAAACCCAGCAGAACCCCACCGGCCCGACACAGCTTGAGGTGAGGGGAGCCCTGAGGACTGCCCCGTGCCCCCACGTCTACCCCCAACTCAGACCCCACAGCAAACACGCACTGGGGGACCAGGTTCTTCCTCGGGGCCAGGCAGGAGCCCAGGAACCATGCTGCTGGGCCCAGGGCCCTGGAGAGCCACACACCCCACACAGGTGTGCCCCCTGCCTGCTCCAGACCCCCAGCCCCTCCCTCAGAACTGACCCAGCACAGTGTGGGTCCCTAAACAGTCCCAAGTTCCTGAGAGGGGAAGTCAAACCCTCCGGGGCCCCCCAACAGTGCCTCCTGCCCCATCCAGCCCTATGTGGCTGCAGGGAGCACCTGGGTGGTACAGCCCATCGTCCCAAAGAACTGAGGACCAGCCGGGCGCGGTGGCTCACGCCTGTAATCTCAGAACTTTGGGAGGCCTAAGCAGGCAGATCACATGAGGTCAGGAGTTCGAGACCTGCCTGGCCACCATGGTGAAACGCCATCTCTACTAAAAGTACAAAAATTCGCCGGATGTGGTGGCGGGCGCCTGTAATCCCAGCTACTCAGGAGGCTGACGCAGGAGAATCGCTCGAACCTGAGAAGCAGAGGTTGCAGTGAGCTGAGATCGCACCACTGCACTCCAGCCTCGGCAACAGAGCGAGGCTCCAAAAAGAACTGAGGACCTTGGCGGAATGACCTCATGGGAACCCCAGGACTGTTCTAAAAGAAACACCTGGAAGGTGCCCTTTGAGAGCCAAGCTGCATCCCCAGGCCCAGCCGAAGGCCACTGCTGCTGCCTACGTACCCCCTTTGTGAGCCCCTAGGGGCCCAGCCCCTTCTTGCCCCTTCTCCGGCTGTGGGGAGGTAAGTGGGAGAAGATTCTGGGAGAAAAACAGCTCCACCGAGGCCCTGGGCGGTGGGGAAGGCACAGCGGACTGCCTGCTCTGATCCGAGGCCTGCAGCCGCAGCTGCATGGAGTGTGCGGGAAAAACGTGGGGCCAACTCCAAACGCTGCGCCTTCCGCCAGGCCCTTGGCCCGGAGGGGCACGGACGGGAGCCAGGACCCCCACTCTGGTTGAGGGGCTGCCTGGATCTGTTTCCTCAAAGCAGAGGCTGACGGGGGCCGCAATCCCCAAACAATGAGGCTGAGAAAGGAAGTGGGTAAGACAGCCACGTTGGCACTCCCAGAGCGGCCACAGAAGCAGTTCTGCAGGCAGCACGTCCCTCAGGAGACGATTTTTAAGCGTGAAGAATTGCTGTCGTCCGATCCTTCTGGAACGCACCCCCTCCCGGTTTGATGCCTTTTCTCTGCATAGTAATGTGTCTTTAAAAAAAAAGAGCCACTGATATATGTTACGAGAAGTGTATCTCTTACACTGAGACAGGACATTTTAATTCCCCGACACCTTTTAGTGATTGCTTCAATTTCCGAAGATTTTGATAAAATCATGCGGTTTAAGAGCCGCAGGATGGAGCCCGGCGGGCGGAGCGTAATGAAATGCTGCTGTTTCACAGCCTTCACGTGGCACAGCCCAGCTCCGGGGCTAATAAATGCTGCGTGATAAATGTTGGAGTCATGATTGTAAAAATATACTTGTAATTGGGTTAATATGCCTTAAAATACTACCCATCAGTTATCTTTCTCTCTCCTCTCTGTAGCGTGCGCAGGGGTGCGTGCGGGTGCAGCACCGCGTTCCTTCCCCGGCCCGCTTCCCTCCTGGCCTGGCAGACCCTTCGTCACCGAGGCCAGGGGATCCAGGGTGCCGGAGCGCAGGGCCGTCGGCTCCAACCCCGCCTGGTACTTCACCGAGGCCAGGGGATCCAGGGTGCTGGAGCTCAGGGCCGTCGGCTCCAACCCCGCCCGGGACTTCGCCGAGGCCAGGGGATCCAGGGTGCCGGAGCGCAGGGCCGTCAGCTCCAACCCTGCCTGGTACTTCACCGAGGCCAGGGGATCCAGGGTGCCGGAGCTCAGGGCCGTCAGCTCCAACAACTCCGCCCGGTACTTGGCCGGAGCAGAAGCACAGTGGGACTCGGGCCAGCCAGGAGCCCATCGGGGGCAGGGCATGGCACCTGGACCTGAGGGACATCTCGAGTGTTTCGCAGACAAGGAGACAAGGCACAGAGGCCAAATGAGTGGCCCCAGGCCCCACAGCCACGGGAGCAGCACTGGACAGGAGGCTGGGGAGGCGTGCGGCCTCGTCAGCACAGGTGGAATGCATGAGAAAGAATTGTGCAAATAGCACAATTTTCAAGGGTGGGGACTGCCCTCAGCCCGGGGGACCAGAGCACCTCCCCTACCTCTGCAAGAGCCTAGGCGGGCCTTGGCCCAGCCCAGCCCACCCCGCTTGGCCCTCTGGGAGGCTGCGCCCCCTCACAACACACACATACATACCCACACTAGTCAAACACACGTGCACAGACACCACACACCCCGCCACCTGCCAGCCACACGCATACTCACCCCAGACACCTGCACAGGCACTCCGAGTCCCAGTGGGGCCAGTGGCGCTGAGTGTTGGCTCCCAGGAAAGAAAACGGCAGGGCAGAGGGTGTGGGCTGCATGGCGCTGTGGCGGTCCCTTGGGGTACTGCCGCCCCTCCCCCTCCTATTTCCTCTCCTCCCCCTCCTCCTCTCCCTCTCCCTTCCCCTGATGCAGGCCCCACCACGTGTGACCCCCTCTCCCACCTAGGCGAGGCCCCTCCCACTTTTCACTGGGTGCTATGGTTGGGGCACAGGCCACTTCCCTAATGCAGGGACCACTGAGCAAGTCCTCCCCTCGCCAGAGTCCAGGCACTCAGCTGAGCCGAGGTGGGGGCTGCCTTGCCAGGGATGAGCCAAGCCCTGCTGCCGGTTTTAGTGTGAGGTGAGCTGAGGGCTGGGGCAGGAGGGGGTGCCCTACTCCAGAAGGGGTCAGAGTTGGGGCTCCTCTGCAGAGGAGGGCTCTGGCCTGAAGTTGGGGCACGCAGGGGCTGGGTTCACCCCCTCACAGGAGCCTCAGGGTGCCCCTCAAGTCAGCAGGTGGACACGGCAGTTCCCCAGGCCGAATGAACCAGAAAGCCATGTCTATAGGCAGGTGGGGCCAGGGAGCCACTCTCCCTCTAACCCTCAGCCCCTCCCCTACTGCTGCCCCCAGCGCAGGGAGGACAGGGCTGCACCAGGAGGCCACCCACCCACCCGAGGCCCTGGCAGGGGCTGGGACCCCACGTGTGCACTGTCCCTGCAGGCCCCACACGGCCAGGGTGAGCAAGAAAGGCGCCATTGCTGTGGCCGGCACACTGCGGTCCCCATCGGCTTGCCTCCCCTCTGCCCTGCTCCACCTGACCACTTCTTTTCTTTTTCTTTTTCGTTTTTGAGGCAGGATCTTGCTTTGTCGTCCAGGCTGGAGTGCAGTGGTGTGATCACAGCTCACGGCAGCCTGGACCTCCCAGGCTCAAGCGATCCTCCTGCCTCAGCCTCCCCGGCTCAGGCAATCCCCCTGCACCCAGCCCTGACCACTTCCCTGTCGCTGTGTCTTCCATCTTAGCATCTGTACCACTGCATCCTCTGCGGGGCAAGTGCGGGTTCGGAGGAGACGGCTCCTGTCAGGCCCAGGCTGTTAGGCTCGACGTCTGGGACATGGCGACCAGCCCTGCCCCAGGGCCCAGCCCTGGAGGGAGGGGCCGAGAAGCTCAAGGCTCCTAGAACAGCAGGCAGACGCCCCCCAGGGCCACGCCCAGGGCCAGCTGTCTTGAGGCCTCCATCTCAAGAGCCCTCCTGCCCAGCCCTGCCCCAGCTGCCACAGTGGAGGTGGGGGTGGGGGTTGGGACAGTCCTCCAGACCCTGTCCGCTGAGTCAGGCCCCCACCTCATCCCAGGCTGCCAACGGGCAGGGCCAGAGACCTCCCAGGGGACCCCTGGAGCCGCAACAGGTCGGACACCCACCTGGGTCCCCCATGCAGGAAAAACCTGCACTTTCCTGGGCACTGCTTTCCGGGGGCCCCCCGTACAGTGGGGACACCAGGCAGCGGCCTCGCCCTTCCAGCTGCTCTTCCGGACACACCACCCTCAAGGGCCCATCCGTCCACCGTTCACACAGGCCAGGGCTGAGCAGTCAGGGCGTGGCGGGAGGAGCTCCATGGGACCCGGCCCCTGTCATCCCAGCTCCTAGGCCTCCTCCTGCACCCACCTGTGCCTTGCTGCCCCTCCCGGGTGCACTGCGCCCCCCAGCCCCCACCTGGAAAGTCTGCAGAACAGGCTGCGCCCCATTTGCCATGCGCCCCATCTGCCATGCGCCCCATCTGCCATGCGCCCCATCTGCCATGCACCCCATCTGCCATGCCCAACCCTCAAGGCCTGCCAGGATCACCCATTCCCCAGGAGCAACATTTGTCTCTCCTGCCCTCCCCTGGCACCCCCTGCCCCTGGGCTGTGAGCTCCTTGGGGAGAGGATGTGTCCCTCCTGGGGGCCCTAAGCTATGGCAGGGCCTGGCACGTGGGCTGCCTGACCCAAAGTGCCCGATGGGGACTAGGTGCCAAACTAGACGGGTGGCCAATCCAGCTAGAGCGAGGCTGGGGGAGGGGGGATGGGCGGCCAGTCCAGCTTGTGTGGGGCCTGGGGAGGTGGGCCAGGGGAGGTGGGACGGTGGAGGTGGGCCGGGGGAGATGGGATGGGGGAGGTGGGACAGTGGAGGTGGGCCGGGGGAGGTAGGACGGGGGAGGTGGGATGGTGGAGGTGGGCCGGGGGAGATGGGACGGTGGGTGTCACCTTGGCGTGCCAGGGCACCAGGGCTGGTTCATGGTGGTGCCGGCGGCTACACCCAGGACTAGGCCTGCCTCATGCATGGCTGATGGTGTCATCCACACAGTGGCTGGGCAGAGATGCAGGGGGGCCTGGCATAATTGGATAATTCCATTTTAAGAGATCTGGGGCAAGAAGCCCTGCCGGGGGAGCTGGGCCCCCACCTCCCAAATTGCCTCCAAATGAAAGTCTGTTTAGGTGGCTGCAGGGGCAGGGGAGGGGCAGTGGGTGCAACACACAGGCAGAGGTGCCGGTCTTGCCGTCAATTCCCTGGCCAGGAAGGTGGCGACAGGCTGGGGTCTCTGGCCCACACAAAGGCTGCGGCAAATGAAATGGTGTCTGCCTGCTTATGTGAAGAGTGATGAAACTTTAAATGAATCGCTGACCTTTCTGGAATGACAGGTGACCCGAGAGATATCTGAGGTGGGTATCGGCAGCGGCCTCGAAAATTGCTGCTGCTGCCCGAAAATAAACAATAAGAGAGCAAATGTGGTTTGAAAAATTGACTCGCTTCAAAGCTGGGGGGAGAGAAAGTGAATTATTTCAGGTCTGGGTGGGCCCCTCCGCGCGCCCCCTCCCCGCCAGGCAGGAGCTGCGAGGCCAGGCTGAGCGAGACCCGGTGTAAGGTACGACAGTGGCAAGTGCGGGTGTGACGGTCCCGGAACCCAGGGGTCTCGGCCCACCCACCGTGGGAAGGAGGTCCACTAGGGCCCCAGGAGGGGTCTGAGGGCAGCAGGAGCCGGCTCCGGCGGGAGGGGCTGCTTGGAAGCCGGCCCACCAGGGCCATGGTTCACACCACTCCAGGACGCCCCCTCCGTCTACCCGCCAGGCCAGCCACGGCACTCGGGTCATGGGGGCCGCCCTCCTGGCTGCCCTGTCCTCCATCCTCTCCCATCTCCCAGCCGTCCGGACACAGCTCGGGGGTGGCGCATTTCACAACGAGGGCCCTGAGTTCAGAGGTTGCGTCCTCTCGCCACCTTTCCCCAAGCCCAGTGCGGCGGCTCCTGCTCGGTGGGAAGCCCAGCTGTGTGTATGAGTGGGGCGAGCCGAGTAGCAAGGAGCCTCTCTGTGCCTCAGTTTCCTTGGATAAGACATGGGATGGCAACAGCCTGCAGGCGTGGGGCCACCAGGAGGGTGGAATGGGTAAACGCTGGTGGGCACACCCAGGAGCCAAGCATCGTCACCCACGGGGAGGGGAAGAGCCAGACCTTCAAGGGGCCCACAAGAGACAGGCCAGCCACAGTCCCTGAGGGGCGAGACGGCTCCCCTCTGCAGGGCAGAAGGCAGAGCCGACCACAGCAACAGAGAGGCGGGGACAGAGGCTGCTGGGCCGCCCACCGCAGGACAGGAGAGGACACCCTGCTGACCAAGGCTGGAAGCCCCAGTGGGTAGGAATGGCCTGGGGCAGCTCAGGGGCAGGGTGGGGCCCGGCACCCCATCCCTCTGCCGATGGTCCCAGGAGGCTTCCTCCCTCTACAGACCCTGGCACTGGAGGGGTCCAGCCTGGCTCTGGGTGGTGAAGGCAGCCCTGCCCCTCCCAAGCATCCCTGGCCCCACTGACACGGCTCCCACCAGGTAGCCCCCACCACCTGGCAGTGTGTGTGCGGCCTGCAGCTTGAAGAGCCCCTCGGGACGTGCTGAAATTGCCCCAAAGAAAGGGTTAAGCAGATTTAAAGTGGAAGAAGCAATGTCACAAAACATGGCCCCAGGGAGCCTGGGGTGTGGAGCCTCAGAGGCTGGCAGGCGTCCTGGGCAGTGCCCTACGCAGAGCAGACAGCGATTGCTGCAGGCCTGACATTGGCCGGTGTCAGTTCTCGGGGCGACAGGGCCAAGGCCACCTTGGGCCAGCCAGGTAGGAGGGTTCCCATCCCTCACAAGCCCTCATGGGCACAGCTGCTGCCTCCAGCCTGCCAGAAAAGCCCTGCCCGGCTGCCCTCAGAGACCCTGCCCAGGCCACACTGGGGCCATCATCGCGGGGTGGTCCAGGCAGGGTGCCTGCCCCTGCTGCCCCCAACTCTAAACATTTGGGGTGGACAGGACCCGAGGAAAGGTTCTGCCCCCGGGAAGGGGCTGCCTGGTGCAGACCCAGGATGGTCCCAGGCTGTGTGGATGGGTGGGGAAGAAGGCTCGAGGCTGCCGCACCCACCCAGGGCTGCCCAAGGGCTGAGTCAGACCCCACGTGTGCAGCGGCCGGAGTAGAAAGGAGATGGGGAGGGCTCAGGCGGGGTGTAGGCGGTGGCTGCCTACGCAGGTTGGGGTGGGGGCACCCAGTGCTGTTTGAGGGCGCAGACCTGGAGCCTGGAATTGGACCCTGGACAGGAACGTGGAGGGTCCCGTACCGTGGGCAGGAGGGGGCCTCAGTGTGCAGGGCGTGGGGGACACCCAAGGTCAGCACATCCCCGAGAGACCCCAGGGAGCCCCCCACTCACAAAGCCGCACGGCGCCCTGGCCTCACAACTGAGACTCAGGGCGGGTCAGGGCCCCTCACTCCCTCTCTCCAACAAGTGCTGGGACCGCATGACCACCCTACTTCCCCCAGGACAGCACAGGGACTGCACTGCCCACTTCCTCCGACGGACACGGCCATCCTCTGGGGCCCTTCCCGGGACTAACATTGCTCCCACGCCCTCCCGCCTCCTCCTGCTTCCCCAGAGCATCCGCTGCAGCCCCCGCCCCACTCCAGAAAAAGCATCCCCAGCCTAAAGCAAAGAAAACCCAGACCGAGCACCACCCCCACCCTGCGGCGGCTCCCCCAGTGCTCTGCCCCGCTCCCGCAGTGCTGTCTGCCAGCTGCTCCCAGGACCTCAACTCCCCAAGGCTCTGGCCCTGCCCCCCTCCTGCCCCCTCTCAACACGCACGTGGGGCCTCCACATCTCCTGCTTGGCAGGAACCTGCCCCTCTCTCTGGGACACCTGCCTGCTGGCATCTGAGCCAGACCCTGCTCCCGCCACCTGCAGACACCGGGCTCCACCTGGCTGCTGAGTCTCGGGTGTGCAGGGTGTGCTGTGGCAGCACCAACCACTCCAAAGCTGAGCGGCTTCCACCGGGCAATTTCACGATGCCCACGGCCTCCAGGCCCAGAATTCAGAGTAGGCGGTGGGGGTGGGGTTGTTTCCGCTCCACAACGTCGGAGGCATTGGCTGGGTGCTCTCAGCGCGGCCTCAGCTGGGACTGGAGTCGGAACTCCCAGCGCAGCCTCCCCATCCTCCCCATGTGGCTGGGGCTTCCTCACAGCCCAGCTCCAGGTCCCAGGAGCAAGTGCTCAGGAGAACCCAGGAGACAGCCGTGCCGGTGACCCAGCCTGGAGTCGCCCATTCCGCCCCCACCAAAGGACCCTGCACCCAGCTTCCAGGGGCTGGGCGTGGAGCCTGACTCGGAGTGTGGTTGTGAGAGGCCCAGAGCAAGATGAGCGTGAGGGAGGGGACGACGCGCAACCACTTTTGAAAAGCGTGTTCTGCCACAGCCGCCCTCCAGCCACACTTCCCATCCCTCCTCTCCCTGCGGGTCCAGGTGTGGACGCGGCTCCTCGGGGTGCCTCCTCCGTGCACCCCAGAGACCCAGGGCTCCCTGCCGACCCTGCAGGGTGAGCTCTGCCCACGTCCTGCACTCAAGGGTGGGGCTGCCCAGAGGCACCTGCAGGCACCGCCCGCAGCAGTTCTGAAACCCTGGGGCGGGCACAGCTTTCGAGGTTGCTGACTGGCGCACCCCTTCTTCCCAGGAGTCCTGGTGGCTCTCATGCTCCCGGCCCAGGCTTCAGAGTCTTCTCCCCTTTCCCCCTCCCCACTGGAGTTCAGGGGGACCCTCGTTGTCCCGTTCCTGTCCTCTTTAGCCCAAACTGGAAGTGCTCTCTTTGTTTTGTAGGCAGCATGACTGACGTTAGCTGGCCTAGCAGGGCCTGTGCCAGGAATTCTCTCCAAAATGCTGCGGGTTTCCTATGACTCTTTTTTTTTTTTTTTTGAGATGGAGTCTCGCTCTGTCGCCCAGGCTGGAGTGCAGTGGCGCGATCTCAACTTACTGCAAGCTCCGCCTCCCGGGTTCACGCCATTCTCCTGCCTCAGCCTCCTGAGTAGCTGGGACTACAGGCGCCTGCCACCACACCTGGATAATTTTTTTTTTTTTGTATTTTTAGTAGAGACAGGGTTTCACCGTGTTAGCCAGGATGGTCTTGATCTCCTGACCTCATGATCCTCCCGCCTCGGCCTCCCAAAGTGCTGGGATTACAGGCATGAGCCACCGCACCCGGCCTCCTATGACTCTTACTGGGGTCTATGTCATTAGACAAAAGCCACACTCCCCACCCCTCCACGGTAAGCTCTTCCCGCCGCGGGCTCCTCGCGGGACTGCTAAGATAGCCGAGACCCGATGCCCTTCAGATTCTAGAAGCCCCACTGTTTCATGCAGAGGACCGAGGCAGACCCCAGACCCCCAGAGTGTGTGAGGTGTGTGTCCTGCCTACCGCGTGACTCAGACAAGTGCATAATGACAAGTGCATAAACGACTCAATTATGTGGGACGGGTCCTCTGACGATGGCTCGTTTCACTCAGCATGGTGTCCCGAAGGTGCGCCTTCCTGAAGCACATTGAAGAACCCCCTTCCTTATCCTGGCTGCATAATAGTCTACTGCACGGATGGACCCCTGTGTAGCGTTCCCCTGCGAGGGACTCGGGCAGCCACGCCCCCTAGCTGTCGGGGAAAGCGCTGCTGTGAATGCGGGTGCAGCTGTCCCAGCCCCTGCTTTCCACTCCCTTGGGCCTGTACCCAGAGGCGGAATTTCAGGATCACCTGGAGATTCTGTTTAACGTTTTGGAAGCTGCCATGCTGTTCCCCACCGCAGCTGTACCACCTCACGTTCCCACCAACAGGGCACGAGGGTTTCGGCGTCTCCACAGCTTCCACAACGCTTGCCACTTTCTGGGTTTTTTGTTTTCTTTCTTTTGAGACGGAGTCTCACTCTATCACCCAGGCTGGAGTGCAGTGGCCCGATCTCAGCTCACTGCAACCTCTGCTCCCCGTGTTCAGGCGATTCTCCTGCCTCAGCCTCCCAAGTAGCTGGGATTACAGGCATGCGCCACCACACCCGGCTGATTTTTGTATTTTTAGTACAGACAGGGTTTCACCCTATTAGCCAGGCTGGTCTTGAACTCTTGACCGCAAGTGATCCGCCTGCCTCGGCCTCCCAAAGTGCTGGGATTACAGGTGTGAGCCACTGCATCCAGCCTCTGGGTTTTTTTTTTTTTTAATCATAGCCATCCTAGTGGGTGTCTCATTCCAGTTTTTATTCTATTATTATGGAAACGTGCGTGCGTACACAAAAGCAGTGAGACCTGTAGCATGGGACCTCGTGCCATTCACCCACGGCCTTCAATCGTCAACTCAGGAGCAAAGTGGCTCCATCTCCACCCCACCCATCCCCCAGAGCATCTTGAAGTGAATTTTCCATATCACATCCTTTCATCCATTCGGGCCTAAGTGAGGCCGCCCCCCCACCACTGATGTCCCCTAATCCACATCCATCCTGTGGAAATCAAGCCATGCCAAGCCCTGGCTTCACCCGCCCAGTCCGGGTGCAGTGGCTCACACCTCTAATCCCAGCACTTTGGGAGGCCGAGGTGGGCGGATCACCTGAGGTCGGGAGTTGGAGACCAGCCTGATCAACATGGAGAAACCATGTCTCTACTAAAAATACAAAATTAGCTGGGCGTGGAGGCGTGTGCCTGTAATCCCAGCTACTCGGGAGGCTGAGGCATGAGAATCACTTGAACCGAGGAGGCAGAGGTTGCAGTGAGCCGAGATCACGCCACTGCACTCCAACCTGGGCAAAAAGAGTGAGACTCCGTCTCAAAAAAAAAAAAAACACCAAAAGTAGCCGGATGTGGTAGCACGAGCCTGTAATCCCAGCTACTCAGGAGGCTGAGGCAGGAGAATCACTTGAACCCGGGAGGCGGAGGTCGCAGTGAGCCGAGATTGGGCCACTGCATTCCAGCCTTGGTGACAGAGCAAAACTTTGTCTCAGAAAAATAAAAACAAAAACAAAAAAATCACCTTCCCAGGACACAGAGAACAAAACCCCAGCTCAGCCACTGATGGTGCCCCTATGGCCCCCCTGGTCTCCTCAGCCCCTCCCGGCCTCTCCGATCTTCTATGTGTTCCACCTGCCGTGCCTGCACCCTGAGACCCCCACCCCAGGCGGCCCCTCCTGAACCTCCAGACCTCCGTGTAAACATGGCCTCCTGAGAGAGCCCCGTCCTGGGTGCCCCCAGCCCCATAATTCCCTCCACAGTGGCGACGGTGGCCTGAAACTGCGTGGATCTGCTGTTTCCATGCTCACGGGCCCCTCCCCGCCCAGGCGCCAGCCACGGGTGGAGGCTGCAGTTGTCTCCGTCTTGCTCTCTGTTGTCCCAGGGGCCTGTCCTGCTGGTTCCTGAGGGGCTCCGTGGCAAGAGGTGAGGCCCCTGGTGGGAGGGCCCAGTGGGTGGGGGAGGCTTAGAGGCAGCAAAGTCAGGTCAGCAGTGGCTGAAACCCAAGGAGGGTCCTGCAGCCGCTACACACACACTCTGCTTAGTAACGGCTCCGGCACCTGACACCCGCTGCCCACCAGTGCCTGGCCTCAGCCCCGTCCATCACTCCCCGTCCTTCACCCATCCCTGCTCGCCGGAGGGAGAGCCGTTTGGATCTGTCCAAGCTGAACAATGCAATACTTCTGCTGAGCTGTGAAGCTGATTAATAATTTGGAAATGAAATCAATATGGGTTCTGCTTTTCATTCCTGGTGAATCCTCGTATGCTGGGCTTACGGGACGGAGGGCGCCAGGGACAGGGACCATGCGGGTTTGGAGGCGGGGCCCAAGGAGGAGCAGGAGGGAGAGACACAGATGGCCCAGCGCTGCACCACTGAGCAAATGGGATGGCGGCTGCCGATGCAGTTCAGACTTGGCCTTGAATCCACGTCAGGAACCAAGCCCAGCGGTGCTGCAGACCCCAAGCCCTGGCTCCTGCTCAGGAGCCCCCTAGGCCTCTGGGAGAGAGGGCTGTCCAGAGTTGTCGCTGGTCTCAGGGATCCCCTCCCCTCAGGATGTGGCTCTGGCAGGGCTGTCTCTGCTGCCTGGGGTCCCCCACTCTCAGAAACAGAGTCCGGGGCCTGGGGTCCATGGCCAGCCCCACACCCCCATCCCTCATCAGCCCCTCGGGCCTCCTTCCAGCCCCCCAGGTCCTGACAGGCTCCAGGGCCTCACTGACTCTCACGGGAAGGCCCAGGCCTGCACCTGCCCCGGGGCCTCTGATATGGTTTGGCTGTGTCCCCACCTAAATCTCATCTTGAATTGTAACTCCCATAATCTCCACATGCCATGGGAGGGACTCGGTGGAGGTAACTGGATCATGGGTGCACATACCCTCATACTGCTGTTCTCCTGACAACAAGTGAGTCTCACGAGATCTGATGGTTTAATAAGGAGCTTCCCCCTTCGCCAGGCTCTCACCCTCTCCCCTGCTGCCCTGTGAAGAGGCGCCTTCCATCAGGGTTATAAGTTTCCTGAGGCCTCCTCAGTACATGGAACTGTGAGTCAATTAAACCTCTTTCCTGGCCAGGTGCAGTGGCTCACGCCTGTAATCCCAGCACTTTGGGAGGCCTAGGCAGGTGGATCACCTGAGGTCAGGAGTTCAAGACCAGCCTGGCCAATATGGTGAAACCCCGTCTCTACTAAAAATATAAAAATTAGCCAGGCATGGTGGCAGGCGCCTGTAATCCCAGCTACTCGGGAGGCTAAGGTGGGAGAATCGCTTGAACTCAGGAGGCAGAGGCTGCAGTGAGCCGAGATCGCGCCACTGCACTCCAGACTGGGCAACAGAGACTTTGTCTCAATAAATAAATAAATAACCTCTTTCCTTTATAAATTACACAGTTCTTTATAGCAGCATGAGAATGGACTAATATGGCCTCCCTGGAACCCAGGGCTTTGTGGCGGCCCCCGAGATGGGTGTCTCAGCCCCTGCGACTTCCCTATGCTTGTGAGCACCTATAACCCCTCATCATGGATGCTGAGCCCCCTGCCAGCTCAGTGCCGAGGGGGCACCCAGGACTGGGCCCGTCCACAGCAGCTTGTCCCCCTTCCCCAACCCCTCCCTACACCCCACTCAACGCGCTGCCCCCACACCAAGAATTTCTCCTCCCCTGGCCCCCAGACTCCAGCTGCCTCCCCTGGCCCCCGGACCCCAGCTGCCTGCCGGAAGACCTGCCACCCGCCTCAGGACACCGCCCGTGCAGGGGAGCCCAAGGGGCAGACGGGCAAGGGGAGGGATGAACAAGTGAGCAGGCTCTCGGATGCCCAGGCGTGGTGCAGGGGCTACGTGCCTCGAAGGTCTGTGGAGATGGTGACCGGGGATCCCAGCAGGGCCCCTGTTTTCGGGGCCAGAGCAGCAAGAGGTGCCCAACACTGGGAGGGCCAGACTAGGGCCTGGAGGACAACAGGGAGGGCAGTGGGGGTGGCCTGGGGTGGAGAGACTGCAAAGTCCCCAGGCAGGGCATCTGGGCTTGGGAGGGATTCCGCGACGTGGGGGGCGGCCTGGGGTGGGGGACAGAGGCCTGGGCACCCCAGCTGGGCAGGCGGCTGAGGTGGCTGTGACCCCAGGCCAAGGCTGGAGGGGCACCTCCCAGGCTCTCCCCCACTGCACAGCCCCATGACAGGGCAGGGCAGCCAGACGCCCCCATCTGCCCTGCCAGGCTCTGCGGCCACACTCAAAACACTGGCCCCTGCCCCCAACCCGGGCCCCGGCTGCCCTCTTTCTGCCCCCGACTCACCCCTGGACCAGCCCTGTCCGCAGCACACCCGAGGCCCTCAGGCTGCCCACACTCTGAGCACCCACCCTGCTCCAGGGCACAGCCCTGCCACTGGCACCTGCTGGTTGCACGGACGTGGGCTGGACCATGTGGCTTTGAACCCTGCCTGGTGACCTCCGGCAGATCCTCAGGGCCCTAGCTGGGGAATGGGGGCACAGAACGGGGCCTCTGGGCCACCCTGAGGTGCGTCTCAGCCGCCTGACCCAGCCCGGCTCACAGGAAGCAGGGGCGCAGTGGGCGGTGTCCCTCATTTGCAGCGACACTGTGTGTGGCCTTCACTCCTCTTGCTCAGCTCAGTCCTTGGAGCACTGGCTGGGCCAGGATATGGGGGTGTGGGGTCTGTCCGTGGGCCCTGAGAGACACCCCTGGCTGGAGGGGGGCCCCCGCCACCCCAGTTCGAAGCCTTGGTGTTCAGCAGTCAGTCTCCCCCCGTCCTCCTGGCCTGTCCTGGAGAGCAGCCCTCAGACCCAGCTCAGGCCACAAGGGCAGCTCAGGTCACAGAGGCTCCTCACCAGTCCCAGGGCAGGGAACTGAGCTGACCTGCACTGGCCCAGCTGGCAGAGCCTCTCCTGAGGTGCCCCTGGTGCACAAGAAGACAGGCAGCTCCTCACTTCAAAGGCCACATGTAGCCCCTGCTGGGCCTCCAGACACAGGCAGGTACCAAGGCCTGGGCGGGCAGCACCGTGCCAGGCTGCTCCATGTGCCAGCAGCAGAGGCGCCTCCGTGGGGGCCCTGGCTCCTGAGCCCTGCAGTCTCTGTCCACACGGTGGGCAAGGGGCCAGCATGGAGGGTGAGGGCCCCCCACCCTGGCCATGCCAAAGGTTCTCAGCACAGGCTGGAGGCAGCCCCTCTGCCAGGAGGTGGCCAGTGGATGGCGGCACATGCAGAGAGAAGGGACGACTCCAGCAGAGTGCTGCTGTCCGGCCGAGCAGCTACCCGAGAGCTAAAGTTCCTTGACCCGTGCCTGGCAGGGGAGGTGGTTTTATAGGAGCCATTGACCGGCGGCATTGATCCCCAAGAATGTATCGCACAAATCATTTTGCACTAAACTGCGGAATCGATGGAGAAATCTCCCGGAAAATTTATATTAAAAGTCTCTGTTTGCCTAAATGAGTTCCCTGTGCCCATATTGAATATTTGGCTGATGAATTGAATGGGTTTAAATTTGAACATTGCAGACCCATTAAAGAATGAATTCTTAAATCAAACCCTGCCGTTTATGATTGAAATGAGATTTCCTCTGCAATGGGCCAGCCACTAAATAAATCAGCTGTATGTTTTATACTGAACCATAAACAAGATATAAGTCTTTTAAATACACAACAGGTGCCTTAAATCTTTTGATGCATCTTGTATTTATCTGAAGTGCAGATTGCTGTATTTACACCAGGTCGTGCAAGACCTCTCACGGTGCTGCCAGTGAAGGTTAAAGTGGCTACTGGGCTCCCGCCAGGGCCTCCCGAGAAGCCCAGGCAGGGCCGAGTGCTCTCAGCCAGCACGCTCGAGGGGTGTGCTCCGCCCCCTCAGACACACACGAAGGCATGCGCGCACACACACACATGCTCACACACACCACACATGCATAGGCACACATGTACACACCCACACGGACCTGCACCCACACATCACACACACTCGCGTAAACACGCACATGGCAGGTGCATAAATGATACCTGCACAGATGCATACAAGCCTGGTGCATGCACACACGCCCAGGCCTGCCGCATGTGACACACGTGTGCTCACACTGACACACGGCACCCACATGCGCACAGCATAAACAAGCATGCACACACCAGCACATGTACACACAGGGCAGGTTCACAAGTGCACACATGTACACACCTGCATCCACTCACCTGCACAAATGTGGGTGCTTGCATGCTCTCGGGCACGTGATCACACACGCATGTATACACTCAAACGCATACTGACACACAGGCACATGGCACCCACTTACACACACATGCCAACACACACAAGGCACATGGCCTGCTACACATATGTACATCTCAGCACAAATTCACTAACCCAGGCATGCACACGCAAGCACAGACACCTGCGCACACACTGGCACGGCCTCCCAGCCCTACCCAGTGACCAAAGGGTCAGCAGAGGCAGCCTCTGCAGCAACCCAACCCGGCAGGGACAAGCTACTCGGGAAAACAGAGAACAGAGAACAGAAAGCAGGGCTATTCCCACCTCTGTGCACAAGGCATGGCCAACTCTTGCCTTAGTCCCGCCCCTGCTGCTGTAACAAAACACACAGACTGAGTAATTTACAAAGAACAGAAAGGTACTGGGGGTGGGAAGCCCAAGGTAGGGGCGCCGGCAGGTTTGGTGTCTGGCGAGGGCCCAGGCTCCGCTCCCAATATGGCGTCCTGTCACCGGGTCCTCACCCTGTCAAAGAGCAGAAGTGAGTGGGCCCAGTCCCTCAAAACCCTCGGTAAGGGCCCTAATCCCAGCCAGGAGGGCAGAGCCCCTGAAACCTAACCATCTCCCAAAGGCCCTGCGTCTTAGTCCTACTGTTGGAGCTAATGTTTGAACATGAATGTTGGAGGGACACAAACACGCAAAACACTGCAACCCTGATGCGAAAATAAGCACACGCAGGCACCACGAGAGAAGAAAGTCCCGGGCAGGCCTGAGATCCACACCGACGTGCGTGGCTATGCGTGTGTGTGTCACAGGCAAGCTGCATTCATGGAAATGAATCCAACAGTGTACCTTAAGTGACACCGTGTGAAGCAGGCCAGGTGTGCCGGGACAGCTCCACACCAGAAAATCACCCCTGTGGTTAGTTCCATCAGGAGCCACAGGAGAAAAACCACACAATTGTCTCAGAAGACTTGGAAATGCTTTTCATAAAGTTCAATAGTTATTTTTTTACATAACTCAAAAACTAGGAAAGAAAGATAATAGGATCATTATATGGAGAACAGTACCTGTACCTCACCTGTACCTCAGGTCCCACGCAAAGAGGGAGAGGCTGGGATCACATCAGCAGGCTTCAGAAACTGATACGAAAACGTCAGAGAACCCCGAAGAAGAAGTGAGCACCAAAGACTCGGCGATTCTCAGGAGGAGGGTGCCAGCTGGCTGGTATGCTCACGCGACCAGCCTCACAGGAGTCAGATGAATGCGGCCAGTCACGCTGGGCACCTGCCACACTCGGTGTGGAGCAGCAGACACTGGAGGGGCATAGCACAGCCACCGCCGGCAAGGACAGGAGGATTGGGGCCTGCAGGCTGCGCGCAGCCCATCCCAGAGGCCGGCTGTGGGGCTTGTGGAAAGGGTGTCTGCAGACCCTGGGGCTCCACGGCCCCACTTCAGGCCACACAGCCAAAGTCACGGGGCCTGCTGAGGAGCACCCAAGCATCACCCACCGGCGAAGGGGTGAGGGGGATACAGAGAAGTGAGGGGGATGCAGAGACGTGAGGGGGATGCAGAGACGTGAGGGGCATGCAGAGACGTGAGGGGGATGCAGAGACGTGAGGGGGATGCAGAGACATGAGGGGCATGCAGAGACGTGAGGGGGATGCAGAGACGTGAGGGGGACGCAGAGACGTGAGGGGGATGCAGAGACGTGAGGGGGATGCAGAGACACACCAGAACAACAGAAGAGGCACAGCCCCAGAGCAGCGTCACCGCAGCAGCAAGAGGACGGGGCGCCAGGTCAGCCGTCGCTGCCCCTGGGGTTCTGTCTAGGAAGCCTCTGCACAGGGAGCTCCTGCTCCTGGGGGCAGCCCAGGGGAGGTTCCTGCCGCCTCCGGTCACAACAGCTCCGTCCGCCAATCAATACCCGGCCCTGCTTTATGTGTGGCCCTATTCACAGACACCGCACTGAGCGTGTATATTGATCCCTTAACATCAAGCTCACAGCCAGCGGTGCCACAGCTCCCACCCAGAGGCAGGTCGCCCCACACGCATTTCTCCACGGGGTGCCCCATGGCCGTCCTATGCTGACGGACACCAGATGGCATTTCAGCACCGGGCACAGGGGCCGCTTTAAACAGCAAAATCACCAAAGGGACACGAGAGCAAAAACATGGCACACGCAAACCACAAAAAAGGACATTTACAGATGAGCAGAGACAGAAGGCAGGATGCGGCCACGCCCACCCCACCTGGGCACACAGAAGGCAGGACACGACCACGCCCACCTCACCTGGGGACACAAGGGAGGCAGGATGCAGCCACGCCCACCCCACCTGGGTACACACGGAAGACAGGATGCGGCTACGCCCACCCTACTTGGGCACACACACGGAAAACAGGATGCGGCCATGCCCATCCCGCCTGGGCACACATGGAAGACAGGATGTGGCCACGCCCACCCTACCTGGGCCCACACGGAAGACAGGATGCGGCCACACCCACCCCACCTGGGCGCACACTGAAGACAGGATGCGGCCACGCCCACCCCACCTGGGCACACACACGGAAGACAGGATGCGGCCACATCCACCCCACCTGGGCACACATGGAAGACAGGATGCGGCCACACCCACCCTACGTGGGCACACATGGAAGACAGGATGCAGCCACGCCCACCTCACCTGGGCACGCACGGAAGACAGGATGTGGCCACGCCCATCCCACCTGGGCACACATGGAAGACAGGATGCGGCCACGCCCACCTCACCTGGGCACGCACGGAAGACAGGATGTGGCCACGCCCATCCCACCTGGGCACACATGGAAGACAGGATGCAGCCACGCCCATCCCACCTGGGCGCACACAGGGGATGGCCCGAATTGTTTGCTGCTCCTCACATGTCCAAGAATGACCACAAAAGCACCACAAGTACTGATTTGGGGGTTGCCACTTTATCAAGGAGGCAAATGTGCAAATGCAGAATCCGAACAAGGGATTGGCTGCATCCACAGATGAAGGACCATGCACTTTTCTCCAAAGCCGCCATGCAGCAAAGACAGAGCAGCGACGTTAGGGCAGGGGCTGGGCAGGGATGGGCAAGGCTGTGGATGGCGATGTTTCAGAGACATCCGTTTGGCTGTTTCAACAGAGACCAACCTGCCACAGCTCAAGGGGCCTCCTGCCTGTCATCACCCCTGGGTGCTGGGCCAGCCACTGTGTGAGAGATTCTGGGATTCCAGGAAGGAAGGATGGGGGATGTTGGATGCAGTAAGCAGGTTCTGGTGCAGGAAATCAAGACACCGGCAAGACGAAGGGGTGGGCACAGCCAGGAGAGGAAGCATGTGAGACTGCGGAGCGACATGAGATGCAAAATCAAACACAAAATAAAACCACAAAATGAAACAAACCCAAAATAAAGCAAGTCACAGGACACATCAGCACTGCTGATGAAGACAGTGCCAGGAGCCCAGGAGCGGCTCACTCAGCCAGGCACGCAGGTCCCCACGGCCAAGGTTGGAAGCGGGGAGGTCCCACCCCTCCCTACTGAGCCCAAGGGCCATCAAGAGGGGCCAAGCAAGTTGGCGCCCAGCAGGCTGGATGACACGGGAGCCGAGCCATGATTGCGCCACTGCACTCCAGCCCGGGTGTCACAGTGAGACTCCATCTCACTGCACTCCAGCCTGGGTGTCACAGCGAGACTCCGTCTCACGTCTCAAAACAACAACAACAACAAAACTAAAACTGTGACTATTCTAGGAAAACACATGTTTAAAAGGCAAAATAGTTTATTTGAGCAAATACATTCTTGAATTGAGCAGCTGCAAACCAGAAGTGGTTGAGGGAATGCAGGGTGAAGGCTTTGATAAGAAGGATGCAGAAGTAAACCAAAGAAAAGCTTGGATTGGTGACAGTCACACTGTTGCCTGCTTCGGTCTGTCCCGCGGAGAAGCCTTAGTTATGTAAGTTTCTTGGCTGCTTTGGCTGGCTGAGCTTCAGCTCTGTTTTTCTTTAATATAGGCTCAAATTAAGTTTCACTTATGGGCTGGGCACCGTGGCTCATGCCTGCAATCCCGGCACTCTGGGAGGCCGAAGCAGGTGGATCACTTGAAATCAGGAGTTCAAGACCAGCTGGGCCAACAGGGTGAAACACCATCTCCACAAAAAATACAAAAATTAGCCAGGCACGGTGGTACGTGTCTGTTGTCCCAACTACTAAGGAGGCTGAGGCAGGAGAATCACTTGAACCCAGAGGGCGGAGGTTGCAGTGAGCTGAGATAGCACCACTGCACTCCAGGCAACAGAGGGAGACTCCATCTTGAAATTTTAAAAAAAAGTTTCATTTATATTTACAAATCAAGCAAGGTTGACAACACTCATGAGGCCTGCATGTTTTGTCTGCTCAGTCTCCATTTTAACTTAACTTTAGCAAACAGGAGAGTATCTTCATGACTTTGGGATCATGTGTTGAGTTATTTATCTGTTGAGCTATTTATGGTGTTTCTGAGTACATCTCTTCATCCACTTTTTTAGTTGCTGTTCTAGGTTATTACTTATACGTGGCTCATGACAGTTTGCCGGTGTTGACATTTTACCAGCTTCAGGGAAGTGCTGAAGCCTTCCCTCCCTGGTGTCCATTTAGTTCCCCACCTATAACATATCATAAACATTTCCTTTACATTTATCAAGAATCACATCAGTCGGTATTCTAATTTTTTTCTTCAACCATCACACATAATTTAGGAAACTCAAGAGGAGAAGGAAACCTATTATGTTCACTCATAATTCTGCCTACTGCGCTCTTTCTTCCTTCCTGATGTTCCAAGGTTTCTTCTTTCACTGTTTCCATTTCTGTTCCGAGACCTGCCTTAGCCACTCTTTTTTAGGTCCGCTGGTGACAAACACGCTTGGTTTTCCTTCATCTGAGGATGTCTTGACGCCCCTTTCATTCCTGAACGGTCTTCTCACTGGGTATAGCATTCTGGGTTGACGGTTCTCTTTCAGCGGTGAGGACAGCAGAGCCTCAGGCCTGAGGGTGCCTGCGCCCACCCCTTGAAGGGAGCGCCTGCATGTCAGGAGCACCCAGGAGCAGTCGGCAGCTGCTGGTGAGCAGCAGCAACTCCTTCACCAAGAGAGAAGTCGCTGCGATGGTGCCACCACAACAGAACTGACGTGTGTCACGAATGCTTGGCATAGAGCCGACCAGTGAGGAGACGGCTGTCAGATGCCGTGAAGATGGGAAGATGGAGGGCCGTGCTATGTCATGGCAACATACTTGGTGAAACAGTCCGTGAGGCAACCTGGAAGGAAGACAGAGGCAGGTGAGTGCTGCCTCTTGGGGAAGAAGTAGAACCAGAAGACAGGGCACGTGCTGCCTCGCAGAGACAGTGAGGCTGGCCTTGAGCCCGAAGGCCCATCACGGCAGGGGTGCATCCAGGCTGTGGCCCCCAGGTGGCCACCCTCAGTGGGGATGGCATGGGAAAGTGTGTCTGAGGGTAGGCGGGTGAGTGAATGGCCAAAGACCTGGCCAGAATCCCAGGAAAACCAGGCCCGGACTGGAACACCAGTAACTGTTGGGGCCTGACCACAGCTCCAGGCCCAAATGTCCCTGGGTGGGAAGTGGGCTGGTACCACAGCCGGGCCCCCAGGGCCCCCTTCAGACAGCCCCAGACAGGTGAGCAGGGATGGGAGGCAGAGTCTCCTGGCCCTGCTGTGCCCACCTGGAGGTGTGGGCTGGAGCTGCATGGGGACGGCAGCTCTGGGGAAGGAAGACGGGAGGGGAGGCTGTTTGGCAGCCTGAGGGGTGGACTGTGGCTCATGGCTGTGGCCGCCAAAGATGCCTTTCCCTTCTGGGCTGAAGCGATTCCATGCCGCCGGCCTCCCAGGCCATGGGGTATGGCCAGGAAAACGTGGCTGGAGGGATGGGACCCAGCCACAGAACCAGCCATGCGGGCCTGTGTGCAACCCCAGCACCATCCCAGCGGGGGAATGCCACCGCACAGATAAGCCAGCCCCGACCCCCAGCCCCCGACCCCCAGCCCTCTCACTGGGCTGGGCTGAGGCCTCCACGGCCCCCCGAGGGCTCAGGGCTTATCTGCGGCAGCCACAAGCTCACCTCAGTGAACACAGCACAGAAACACATCAACCTGCACCCAACCCAGCAACGCTGCTCCACGCTGCCAACAAGACGGGGAAGGGGATGCCGCAGAGCGTCCACAGGTGAGAGCTGGGGGTCCACTGAGCCCCCACCCCAAAGCAGCCCACATAACGGCCTGGGCTCTCTTCCTCCTGGGGTCAAAGACAGGCAGGCTCTGGGCCCACGCTGCTCACCCATCCTCCCTGAGCTCCAGCACCTTCTAAGTGAAGCAGGTTACTAACGAGTCACTGAACTTTGCAGCCACAGGCTGAGGCAGGAGCTGCCAGGATCCCACCTTGTGGCGAGCGGCCCCTTACCACTGCCCGGGGCTGGGCAAACACGGAGCTGGAGAGGGAACGGCACGCACTGCCAGGGCGGCCAACGACCCGGCCTCACCAGGGCAGGCAAGGCAGGAGGGCAGAGGCCAGGGCCAGCTGGTGGCGCGCATGGAGGGGTATGGCAGGCATGGCCTGGGCTCCCTTGCCCAGCTCGGCGTCTCTGGGGTTGGCCCACTTCAGGACTGGCCGGCCTTCCCGCCCTGTTCCCAGACTCATGCACCTGTGGACATGGGCACTTTCCTCCAAGCCGCATCTCCCTCCCGCACCAGGTGCTGGCCTATCTCTGGGTCTATACCCTGCAATCGGCTTCTCAGGTCTTCACCCCCCGGCCTCCCGTGACCACCCCCGCCCTTCATCTCCAGCGTCTCTGACTCACGCACCGGGCACCGGCCTTGCGCTTTGTCTTTTACTACAGATCCCAGTTCTGCTGTGCATTGGAGCTCCATTTGTACCACTCAGGGCCCTGGCAGGAATGGGGGTTCACGGCGTCCACACGCAAAGCCCTGTCCTGGGCATGTCAGGTCCCTTTCGCCCACACTGGCACCTGGATCTGCTTCACTTCATCTGCCCTGCGATCATCTAAGCTGTCCTCTCTCGCCTCATGGTCTCCACATTTCCTTATACTTTATTAAAAAACAAGTCAGCCGGGCGTGGTGGCTCACGCCTGTAATCCCAGCACTTTCGGAGGCTGAGGTGGGCAGATCACAAGGTCAGGAGTTCGAGACCAGCCTGGCCAATATGGTGAAACCCCGTCTCTACTAAATATACAAAAATTAGCCGGGCGTGGTGGCGGGCAGCTGTAGTCCCAGTACTGGGGAGGCAGAGGCAGGAGAATCGCTTAAACCTGGGAGACAGAGGTTGCAGTGAGCTGAGATCGTGCCACTGCACTCCAGGCTGGGTGACAGAGTGAGACTCTGTCTCAAAAAAAAAAAAAATTAATTAATTAAAAATAAATAAATAAATAAATAAAATGTCATCTTATTTCCCATAACAGACCTTTCTCAAGTGTGCCTGGACACAGCTGTGGAAGGAAATGGCCCCTCCTCCGCAGACATCCCACAGAAGCACCTGAGCTCTGTCTTCTCACTTTGTCTTGGAGCAAGGGAGGCCTTTCCGGGAGTTGTTTCCACAGAGGGGGGATTCTCTTTGGTTCCTGCCACAGTCAGGAATTGTACTGGCTGCATACAAAACACCATCACCACCAACAGGACCGTCATCACTACCACCACCATCAGCAATGCCAAAAACCTACAAAAGCACCACCACATAGGACGCCTGTAATCCCAGCTACTTGGGAGGCTGAACCCAGGAAGTGGAGGTTGCAGTGAGCTGAGACTGCGCCACTGCATTCAAGCCCAGGTGACACTGCAAGACTCTGTCTCACAAAAAAAAAGAAAAAGAAAGAAAGAAAAAACACCACCACCACCACCACCACCAAAAACAAAAACAATGATGAAAACATCAACAGAAATAACATCACTGCCAACAACAACAACATAAGCAACAGCAACACCAAAACACAACACTGCCATCAACACGGTAGCAGCAACCACAGCAAAAGTCAACTTCTCTCTCATGAGACCAGAGTTGGAGGTGGCCATGCCAGGCTGGGATCGGGTCCCCAGGGTCACCACATACGTAGGCAACCTCTGGCTTTTTTCTGCTCCACCTCCTCGCATGTGGCTTCCTGCCCAAGGTCACCTCATGGTTCAAATGGCTGCCAGAGCCCCAGCCATCACGCCTCAGTTTCAGGAAGCAAGAAAGAAGGAACACAAAGAACAGGGGACCCTTTTCCTAGCTGAGTCAGCTACGCTACTTTTTTTTTTTTTTTTTTTTTGAGATGGAGTCTCGCTGTCACCCAGGCTGGAGTGCAGTGGCACAATCTCGGCTCACTACAGGCTCCGCCCCCCAGGGTTCATGCCATTCTCCTGCCTCAGCCTCCCGCATAACTGGGACTACAGGCGCCCGCCACCTCACCCGGCTAATTTTTTGTATTTTTTAGTAGAGACGGGGTTTCACCATGTTAGCCGGGATGGTCTCGATCTCCTGACCTCGTGATCCACCCGCCTCGGCCTCCCAAAGTGCTGGGATTACAGGCATGAGCCACCGCGCCCGGTCAGTCGGCTACTTTTAAGGAGTCTTCCTGAAAGTCCTGTCTAACACTTTCACTCACATCTCATCAGACAGAACTTAGTCACATGGCCACACTCCACTGCAAGGAAGGTTGGGAGGTGGGGCCCAGCAGCTTGGGGTGGGGGACAGTGGGGTGGATCTGCCGCCACCCAGCCTCCACAGCGGGGAGCGAAGATGGTGAGGGAATCAGGATTAGCTCCACTGGGTCCTGTCCCAGGTCACGGAGGCAGTGCCAGCCCCTCCCACTGGACTGGGGCAGTCCCCCCATCCAAGGCTGTCACAAGGTCCCTGCCTTCCCCAGCTCTGAGACCCCAGCCTGGGTCTGCAGGAACCAGCAGGTCACACAGAGCAGGCTGAACGTCTGGCCCGTGCCGTCCCTGGCACCGTGTTGGGGGAATATCCCTGCGGCCATGGGGCTCCCCACCCACTGTGGGGTGAATGCGTCCCCCAAGGCTCATGTGTTGGAAACCTGATCCCCACAGTGGTGGTGTGGGGAGGTGGGACCTGATGGGAAGTGTTTGGGTCGGACGGCACCGCATTCATGAACGAATCGATGCTGCTGTCTTGGGAACGGGGCACATATTAAAGGGCAGGTTCCGACCCCATCTGCTCTCTCGCCTTCCTCCTTCCCCTCTGCCCTCTGCCACCTGACGACACAGCAAGAGACCCTCCAGATGCGGCTGCGCAATCTGGGACTTCCCAGCCTCCAGAAACTTGAGCCCGCCGACCCCTGTTCACGATCAGTTACCCAGACACGGTGCCGTTACAGCAGCAGCACGGAGAGAGGCAGGACCCGGAGTCACATCAGGATGCCAGCCTCGGCTCATACTCTCCAGCCAGCGTGACGGTCAGAGTGCAGCCCCCAGTGTGGGGGTGACGACAGGGGCAGAACAAAGGCGGCTGCTTCCCTAGGAGTCACTGCAGCAGGAGCCCCCCGGCTGAAGGTGGATCTGGCTGGGGTGGGCACCTTCCCTGGGGACTCCTTTGTGGCCCCTCAGGCTTCCAGCCAGGCCCTGGCCCCACGGCCCCTCCCATGACCTCCTTCCACTGGGCTCCTCCTCCCTCCCAGGGCACTGCCGCTGAGGGGCCGCCCCACCAGCCCTGCCCTGTGACTGGCAGTACAGCCGGCCCTCTGTGCCCGTTTTAAATGGCCTCAGACACACAAACAGGGGCAGAGGGGCAGGGTCTCCAGCCCTGCATGCCCATTTGGGGGTCTGGCGGGGGCTGTGAGGGGACGGTGGAGCTCTGGGCTGGCTCGCTCGGGGAGGGAGGTCGGGAACAGCGGCTGTTTGGCTGGGCCCAGGCTGGGAGTCAGATCCTGCCCGCAGCCATCTCTGCCTCCCTCAGACTCAGGCACCACATTTCCAAGCCCTCCAAAGGTCTCCTGAAGCCCCCACCAGGCCTGAGGCCAGAAGCAACCACCCTCTGCCTCGAGGGGCCCCTGCCAGGGACAGGATAAGTCAGCACCAAGGGGAAGGGGAGGCCACACGCACACGGCCAGCATGAACCTCACGCTTTGCCTGGGCCTCCCGCGTGTCCCTCCCTAAACCACAGATGGAGGCAACCTACGATCGCTCTTGTGCCCATGGGGAAACGAAGGCACAGGCGCTGAAGCAGCCCCCACGGTCACAGGGCTGACAGTGGCACCTGAGGCTCTGTGCCTCCCACTGTGGCCACCAGCCCGGCATGCGGTCCCCCACGCTGAGCAGCAGAAAGTATGGCAGGTCCAGCCCTCCAGCAGTCCACGGCCAGGGCCCTGGCATGCCCGCTCCAGGACGGGGACATCAGCGGTAGAGGAGACTGTGTCCAGCTGCAGGTGGACCCTGAGATGGGCCCAAGCTCCCCCGACGTGAAAGGCAGCTGCTCCGTCCTGGGCAGCACCTTCCTCAGGAAGAGGCCTGGCTCCTGCTGCCACCCCCACCCCCACCGCAGCCCCGGGAGAGGAGGCTGTGGCAGCCTCAAGCAGAGTTGCGTTTCCGGCCCCCGAGGGATGGCAGCTGTGAGGCTTGGCCACGGTCTCAGGCCACCAGGCCCCCGGGCTCGCCAGCGCTTTCACCGGATGGCCACCGGCTGGGCAGTTCTCGGGAGTCCACTTGGTCACCCGCTGCAGGGCTGCCCGCCTTCCCCGGCGGCCTGGCCGGCCCCTCCTGCGGTGGGTGGCGGCTGCACGGTGACCTTGCGGTAACCCAAGTGCCATCCGTCAGCAGACGGCCGCCCGCTCCGGAACACGGCGGCAGCTCATCTGAATTCAAATTACCCCGGGAGCCGCGCGATGCCAGCCATAACTCAGCCTGCGGAGGAGTGCGGCCGCCGCGGATCGGACGTTACCATACATTCCCGGGGCGTCGGACAGGGCTGCTAATGAAAATATCAATCAAAAACTTGCCTGACTTAATGGTCAATTTAAATTAATTAATTGGGGAGGAGAAAAAAGTTGAGGAGGGTGGCGTTGATGGGCTCCCTCTCTGGCGGGCGGGGAGAAGTGGGTGCCCGGCTGGGCACAGCCCCCAGGCCAGGAGATGGGGCCAAGCCTCCCCCGGGACCCTGGGGCATACCTGAGGGCCCAGGGGCCATGCCTGCCTGGGGCGGGTGTGAGGCCTGAGATTCCCGTCCCACATTTCTGGGCAGGCTGTGGGTGGCCTGTCCTACTCCAGCTGTGTCGTCTGCAGGGACCACTGGTGGCCAGGTGCCCCCTCCCTGAGGCATAGAAGAGCCCCTTGCTCAGTGGGGCCAGGGAGGGCTGGCATTGTGGGCATGGGCATGGGCCACGACTGGCTCAGGTCCCTGGGCCTCATCTTGTCTGTGACACAGTGGCCATGTCCACTGCCCAGCACTTCGCAGGGCCCACGGCAGGCAGGGTGGGGCTGGACGCAGGGCTCACCAGGGATGCCCCCAGGTCAGGCGCTGTGTCAAGGGAGACACAGGTATCCCTGCTTCATAGTGGAGAAACTGAGGCTCTGAGGGGGACTGGTGCTTCAAGAGGCAGAAAGCGCCGTGACCCCCCGAACCACAAATGTGACAGTGCGGAGGCTGACGGGTCATCCAGGAGTGAGACGGAGAAAGGAACAAGGCCCAGAAGGACGGCAGGGGTGACTGCGCAGGGACTCCAGGGCCCCCATTCCAGGCAAAACCTGTAGGAAGATTCCCACTCAGCCCCTCTGGAGACATCTACATCCTCAAAGGCAATAACAGAACCCTCCGCGCAAACCAAAGGTGAGGACTCACAGCCAGGCCAGCCCGCCTCCCCGCCACCACGCCAGGTACCGCCACGCTGCGGGTCTGGCTGAGAAGGCACCTGGAATTCTGTCCCAGATGCTGTGTTTCACGCCAGATGACAGCAAAGCTCTCCCCTGACATGCGGGCACACTCCAGACTCCCCCAGAGGCCCTCCTGGAAGAACCACTCAAGGACCCAAGGGCCCAAAAGGCATCAGAAGGTCCTATGTCCCGGCCCACGTGGTCAGGGGTCACACCAGGTGATCAGAAGCCCCCACGTCCCGGCCCACGTGGTCAGGGTCACGCCAAGTGATCAGAAGCCCCCACGTCCCGGCCCACGTGGTCAGGGGTCACACCAGGTGATCAGAAGGCCCCACGTCCCAGCCCACGTGGTCAGGGTCACGCCAGGTGATCAGAAGGCCCCACGTCCCGGCCCACGTGGTCAGGGTCACGCCAGGTGATCAGAAGCCCCCACGTCCCGACCCACGTGGTCAGGGGTCACACCAGGTGATCAGAAGGCCCCACGTCCCGGCCCACGTGGTCAGGGGTCACACCAGGTGATCAGAAGGCCCCACGTCCCAGCCCACGTGGTCAGGGTCACGCCAGGTGATCAGAAGGCCCCACGTCCCGACCCACGTGGTCAGGGGTCACACCAGGTGATCAGAAGGCCCCACGTCCCGGCCCACGTGGTCAGGGGTCACACCAGGTGATCAGAAGGCCCCACGTCCCGGCCCACGTGGTCAGGGTCACGCCAGGTGATCAGAAGCCCCCACGTCCCGACCCACGTGGTCAGGGTCACACCAGGTGATCAGAAGGCCCCACGTCCCGGCCCACGTGGTCAGGGTCACACCAGGTGATCAGAAGGCCCCACGTCCCGGCCCACGTGGTCAGGGGTCACACCAGGTGATCAGAAGGCCCCACGTCCCGGCCCACGTGGTCAGGGTCACGCCAGGTGATCAGAAGCCCCCATGTCCCGACCCACGTGGTCAGGGTCACGCCAGGTGATCAGAAGGCCCCACGTCCCGACCCACGTGGTCAGGGTCACGCCAGGTGATCAGAAGGCCCTACGTACCAGCCCATGTGGTCAGGGTCACGCCAGGTGATCAGAAGGCCCCACGTCCCGGCCCACATGGTCAGGGTCACGCCAGGTGATCAGAAGGCCCCACGTCCCGGCCCACGTGGTCAGGGTCACGCCAAGTGGAGCCTTGGGGGAGACTGAAGCCACCGCCCTGGCCAGCACAGGTCATGTCTGGGCAGCCAGGAGCTGTCCAGAGACCCCAGAGGCAGGTTCAGCGGGTGGGATCTGGGCTTCCAACCCCTTCCCCAGGATCCGCCCATCAGAATCCTCCACAGGATCCTCTGCAGAGCCTTCCAGGAGGCGGCCCAGCATGTTTTTCCTGCCCCGACTCGGTGTGGCTGCCTGCCAGGGTGCAGGGGAAGTGGTGTGAGCCCCTGCCGTCCTTCTGGGCCTTGTTCCTGTCTCCATCTGGCTCCTGGATGACCCTGGTGCATAGGGCTTTCGTCTTGTGCTCTGCCCACACCAGGAGCAGAGCAAGCCAGGGGCGGTTGGCCCAGGAGGAGGAGGTAGGGGTCAGGCCGGACCTTACCCCAAGCTGAGCCCAAGTGACTACAGCTGCATGGAGCATGAACAGACGGTGGCCGTCACGAGCCGTCCACGTGGGCTTTCCTTCCACAGCATCTCACAGCAGAAGCTGACCCAGACAGCAGAGCCCAGGGAGCCCGACGCAGACCAGAGGCTGCCAGTCACACAGAACAGGAAGAACCCCGATCACCAGACCCAGCGGGGAAGTCGGGGAGGACCCAGTGTAGACTCTCAGCCACGGCCATGCCCTGAGCCCGGGGGGACCAGGGGAGGACCCGGGACAGTGTAGACTCTCAGCCACAGCCATGCCCTGAGCCCGGGGGGACCCGGGGAGGACCTGGGACAGTGTAGACTCTCAGCCACAGTGATGTTTTGCATCTGGGGGACCCGGGACAGTGTAAACTCTCAGCCACGGCCATGCCCTGAGCCCGGGGGGACCCGGGGAGGACCCGGGACAGTGCAGACTCTCAGCCACAGTGATGTTTTGAGTCTGGGGGACCCAGGACAGTGTAGACTCTCAGCTACAGCCATGCCCTGAGCCCAGAGACTCAGCCTGGCAGTGCCAACACACAGCCCTGAGTCTCCATCACAAACCCACCCACTGTTCATCCAACTGATTGAGCCCCTGGCCAGGGCTCAATCACAGGTTCTGTGGCCTGTATGTGGGGAGGGGCCAGCCCTCCCCCAGCCTCCAGATGGAGAGGGTGGGGGCCTGGCCTGGAGGCTGCCTGAGGGCAGGGGCTGTGGGACAGGACAGACTAAGGCTTGGCAAAGAGTGGCAACCATGGGCCCAGTGAGGCCAGCCAGAGGCACAGGACCAAGCGTGGCCATGTGGACGCAGGCCAGGAGGGTGGGGCTTCGCTCCGGTGCCCCCAGGTCGGCCCCCAGG
Source organism: Homo sapiens (assembly GCF_000001405.40). Classification (NCBI taxonomy): domain Eukaryota; kingdom Metazoa; phylum Chordata; class Mammalia; order Primates; family Hominidae; genus Homo; species Homo sapiens. The sequence goes on from NW_021159990.1 coordinate 202,025, forward strand.
AAGCCGTCCAGCTTGGCCTTGCACCCTCACACACAGCCTCCCTCAGCCAACCAGGTCCCCACCGGCCCCAGCACTGGGCACTCAGGGCCCAGCCCAGCAGGAGAAGGGAACACGACCACTACCATTTGACCCCAAGGCACCCAGAGTGCTCAGGCAGGGCCTGATCCTGCTGAGGCCATGGTGGCCGCTTGGTTGGTGTTTCTGTTCCCTGAGTAGCTCACGCCCTCGGGTGACAGAGCAGCCGTGAACTGCCGACTGACGGATACACCTCCCGGAATGTTTATGGACCACAGTCACTTGTATAACCACGGGGCTGCTTACGCTGGAGACTCAGATGGAAAGCACCCTGGGGTGCCACACACACCCAGTCCCCTGCTTGGAGCCCACCTGGCCACAGCTCCCCAGCAGACCCTGCCAGGCTGACCCCTCCCCACAGCATGGTGGAGAGCTGGGGCTCCCATCCGCCGTGGGCCTGATCCTTCTTGTCCTCTCCACATTCTCCAGGGCAGAGACAGTGTCCACACTGGGGCCAAGTGGCCAAGAGCTGCAGCTGAGGCCTGCAGGGGAAGGGTGTCGGGGAGGAAGCCCAGGGCCAGAGGGTCCCACTCCCTCCCTCCACCACCCCCTTGCCCTCTGGCATGTGTCCCAGCAGCAGCCCCACCTGGGGGTCTCCACTCAGCAGGGCAGCCCCTCCAGAGGTCATGCAGGGGGCCTGGAGCTTGAGCCATGAGCCTCCCACCCACCATGAAGTGACTCTGGGAGAGACAGGCTCTGCTTGTGAGCTGATGCCCGCAGGCAAGTCCCATCTACCTTCAGGGTCCTCCTGTCAACGGCAGCATCCAGTGATGAGGCTGAGAGGATTCCATAGGCCCTGGGGTCAACCCACATGCACCTGGGTGGGGAGGGTGGCACGGGGGGAGGGTGCACCTCAGGGGGTGGGTGGCATGAAGGGAGGGTGCACCTGGGCGGGGAGGGTGGCACGGGGGAGGGCACGCACGTGGGCAGGGAGGGTGGCCCAGGGGAGGGTGTACCTGAACAGGGAGGGTGGCATAGGGGGAGGGTGGCACGGGGGGAGGGTGGCATGGGGGGAGGGTGTACCTGGACGGGGAGGGTGGCACGGGGGGAGGGTGCCACGGGGGGAGGGTGGCATGGGGGAGAGTGGCATGGGGGGGGTGGCATGGGGAGGGTGGCATGGGGGAGGGTGGCATGGGAGAGGGTGGCATGGGGGAGGGTGGCATGGGGGAGGGTGGCATGGCGGGAGGGTGGCACGGGGAGGGTGGCATGGCGGGAGGGTGGCACGGGGAGAGTGGCATGGCGGGAGGGTGGCATGGGGGAGGGTGGCATGGGGGGAGGGTGCACCTCGGGGGGTGCGTGGCACGAAGGGAGGGCGCACCTGGGCGGGGAGGGTGGCACGGGGGGAGGGTGGCATGGGGGGAGGGTGGCAGGGGGAGCATGCCACGGGGGGAGGGTGGCATGGGGGAGAGTGGCATGGGGAGGGTGGCATGGGGGGAGGGTGGCATGGGGGAGGGTGGCATGGTGGGAGGGTGGCACGGGAAGAGTGGCATGGCGGGAGGGTGGCATGGGGGAGGGTGGCATGGGGGAGTGGCATGGGGGGGAGGGTGCCATGGGGGGAGGGTGGCATGGGGGAGTGGCATGGGGGGAGGGTGCCATGGGGGGAGGGTGGCATGGGGGAGGGTGGCATGGGGGAGGTTGGCATGGGGGGAGGGCACACACTTGCACTAAGACTCCCCAGGCTTCGCCCACTGCAGGGTCCCCTACTCCGTAGCCCAAGATAAGGGGGCCTTGGAACACCTGAGTTTGAGTACCTTCTCCCCTGGGGCCCTGTGTGCCTTAAATCCACGATGAGTCCCCGTGACCGCGTGGTCTCCAGGAGGCAGGGGCCGTGGGGTTCTCCTCTCACCCACGTCCACCCCAGGATGTGCGCCATGCCTGCGTTGGGGGACAGCACCTCGATCCCCTCCAGGCGGATACCTCGCCCAGCCCAGCTGGGAAGAGGAAGGAGCAGGGTCCCTGGGGCACTAGAGTGGGCCAGACCCATGGTGGAGGGAGCCCCATCCCCACCGCACCTGGGACCCCAGGGGGTCTGCACTCTCCACCAGGACTCCAGGGCCCACAGAGGGAGGCCGAGGCTGTGGCCACCACCTAGAGTCAATCTCTGCTGCCACCCAGCGGCCTCCAGGGGAAGTGCGGGCGAAGCCTCAGGCCAGGCCAGACCACCCGGCAGCTGGGCCCGCCAGGGAAAGCGGAGCCTGGGGCCTCAGGACCCCTCTAGGGTGGCCCGAGTCAGTCCTGGGCCTCGACTGTGCCCTGGAGGCCTGGCCAGGGGGCAGTAGGAGACATGTCCGTCCTGAGGGCCACTGGCCATGGCCTTGGCCTGGGGTTGGGCCTGTCCAGGCTCCACCAGCTCTGGGCCACCCCCTCATCCTGCCTGTGGCTGCCCGCACGGGTCCTCAGCAGACAGGAGCTGCCCAGGGCTAAGGCAGGGCCTTGCCAGTGCCCAGCTTCAGTGAAGAGTACAAGGGGGACTCCCAGAGCAGGGCTCTCAGGCCCAGACTCAGCCCCTTGGGAAGAGGGACCCAACCTGGGGTCCCTTTGGGAGGCTGAGGCAGGAGGATCGTTTGAGTCTCCGAAGGCAGTTAGTCCCGGAAGCAGCTCTGAGAACAAGGCTGGGCCCACCCCGGCCCACCCACAGCTCATCTCTGTGGCCAGAGGGCTGGCCCAGCTCCACCACACACGGCCTCGCTGGGGACAGCCTGGGCCTCACACCCCGGCTTAAAGCTGTGGTTTATTCAGATGGGCCCTGGCCTGAGCAGATGCCGGATGGAGCTTCCCCTCTCCCAGACCTTCCCTTCTGTGCTCCCTTCCTCATCCTTCCCCATGTCCCCCTGCTTCCCCCTCCGCCCAGCACAAAAAGACCACAGTGAGACCCCGCTGGACACCTCACCCGGCTGCCTGCCTGCCAGGTGTGGTGAGGGTATGAGTCCTGGACAAGGGGACCAACTCCTCACACACAGGGGTAGGTCATCCCCTTCCAAGCTGTCGGAGCTGCCCACGAGGCAGGTGCACAAGACAGCCTGGCCCTGGTGCCACCTGCTGCAGGGGCCTGAGACACCCTGTCCTCTGAGCTGCCCGTGACCAGGGGGTCAGAGCCCACCTTGGTGTTGTGGCCCCCATGGTGTCTGCTGAGACCACTCACCTCTGCCACTGCAGCCGAAACAGCCACAGCCAAGGTCTACACAAATGCACGTCGGGGAGTTCCCATCAAACTCTACGGAAACAGGCCGCGTCTGTATGTGGCCAGTGGGCCGCGGTTTGCCGACCCCCAACTCATGGATCACGTGTCACGAATCGTGTATGGGGACACACAGGCAAGAGCAGGGTCTACAAAAATACACGCCCCGGGCCCCGTTCAGCCAGTCCGTCCCACACCTGAGGCAGGCTCAGCAATTCCCCTCAGCCTCACCGCCACTCCCAAGACAGGCCAGGAGCCTGCTCTAAACACCATCGTGGAAGCCAGACAGAAAAGGCCCGCACAGCATGATCCCACGTCTACGAAATGCCCAGCTCCACAGAGACAACAAGCGGAGGGGAGGCTGCCAGGGCAGGGCAGGGTGGGGAGCGCCCACTCGTGGGGAGGGGGCTCATTTGGGCGATGGGATAAAATGGTTTGGAACCAGAGAGAGGCGGTGTCTGCACCATCTCACGAATGTACTAAATGCCAGTTAACTGAACACTAAATTTTATGTTGAGGCTGGGCACCATGGCACGCGCCTGCAGTCCCAGCACTTTGGGAGGGTGAGGCAGGAGGACTGTTTGAGCCCCAGAGGTCAAGACTGCAGTGAGCCATGATCACACCACTGCACTCCAATCTTGGTGACTGGGGGAGACCCTGTCTCAAAAATAATATAATAATAAATTAATAAATGTATTAATACTAACAATAAAAACAATGTTTCCAATAAATTATTATAACACTTTAGAGGAGAAAGACTGGAGTCAGGATGGCTCTGACTCTGCCACCTGTCACTTGAGAGGCATACGACTTGGAGCGGGGCTGAGGCAGGCGGAGACCCTGCTTGGGGCTTCCCAGCAGCCTTTTGCCCCGGGAGCTGCAATAGCAGCGGTGGACAAGCCAGAGGCAGCCCCAGGCCTGCTGTGGGCAGCAAAGGTCTCCATCAACCCCATGTCCCAGGCAAGGCCAGGTCTCTGGGCCTCAGTGTGGGGCAGTGAGGCCAGCTTGCAGCCCAGGCCGTTCCCACACATGCTAACCTCTGAGAGTCCAGGGACAGCACTGTGGGGCTCCTGTGCCGGGCATTACGGCTTCCTGTCCCTGGAGTGTGTCCCCCGCTGCCTGGGAACTCCTCAGGGAAGGGCACACAGCAGTCCCAGGGAAACAGCCTCTGAGCTGAAGGCGCCCAACCACAGAGGGAAGGTGCCATATCCACGGTGCACTGGGCAGCCTCTGAGACGCCCCAGAGAAAGAGAGTGGGGAGACTGAGGCACCCTACAGAAGGAAAAAGCTATAGAAACACTGATTCAAGAAGCTAAAAAAAACAGCCAAATCAACCAGCAAACACGTGGAATAAACACACAGAAAAGCCGCTCCCACAGGCAACCCACTGAAAACCAAAAATACAGAGATCTTAAAAGCTTCCTGAGGACGGGGGACACATGATATACAAGGAAACAGCAACAAAAAAATTGCTCCTCACTTTTAAAAATTATCCAAGCCACGGCCAGGCATGGTGGCTCACGCCTGTAATCCCAACACTTTGGGAGGCCAAGATGGGTGGATCACTTGAGGTCAGGAGTCTGAGACCAGCCTGGCCAACATGATGAAACCCCGTCTCTAGTACAAATACAAAAAATTATAGGGGTGTGGTGGCACGTGCCTGTAATCCCAGCTACTCAGGAGGGTGAGGTAGGAGAATCGCTTGAACCCGGTAGGTGGAGGTCGCAGTGAGCTGAGATTACTCCACTGCACTCCAGCCTGGGTGACACAGTAAGATTCCATCTCAAAAAAAAAAAAAAAAAAGTTTAGTATTTGGAGATACGGTCTCTAAAGAGGTAGTTAGGGTTAAATAAGGTCACACGAGTCGGTCCTAATCTAATCTGACCTGTGTCCTCATAGGAAGAGGAAGAAGATGAGGACACAGACACACACAGAGAAACGACCACGTGCAGACAGGGAGATAGTGGCCGCCTTTGAACCACAGAGCGAGGCCCTGGGAGAAAGTGGCCCTCCTGATGCTTCCATCTCGGACTTCCAGCCTCCAGAACTGGGAGGAGAGACAGCTCTGCTGTTTAAGCCCACTGTGCAGTATTCTGACATGGACCCCCAAGAAGACCGACCCACAGATGACAAGAGAACTGTCACATGACCGTCTCAACAGACAACTAACAAATAATAAAAGCAACACCCATTCGTGACGTTTTATCATCTGCGCCCTTAGAGTAGAGCCACGGGGACAAAGCTGGAACGAAGCCTGAGTCCTCTCATCACCATCCTTGACTCAGCAGCCGTCTGAAGCCACAGAACGCTCCACAGGCGTGCATGCACGTGGGCAGTTTGCACGCCTGTGTATACACACCACGCAGGCACACACTACACAGTGCTCACACGTGTGCATATTATACAGTTGTACATGGACACACATGCCCATGTGCACACAGACCCACCTGCAAATACCTGTGGACACACAGTTACACGTGCACACACACAGGTACACTTACACACAGACTCCCATGCAGAAAATGTAGGCACACATGTAGTTATGCCTGTAGGCACATATGCACACACGTGCACAGACATACATGCATGTGCACAGGGCGCACGCAGGCATAGGTACACACTCGTGCTCACACGCATAGGTACACGCTCATGCTCACACGCATAGGTACATGCTCATGCGCACACACATAGGTACACGCTCATGTGCACACACATAGCTTTACACTCATGCTCACAAACATAGGTACTCATGCTCACACACATAGGTACACGTGCTCACATGCATAGGTACACTCATGCTCACACACACGAGCGCATATCTCCCTGCATTCCAAACGGTGAAACACTCACAGGCTTCATTATTTAAACCATAATTTACACCAATGCAATAAACCTAGAAATGAATGCAAAGGTCTAAAGAAGCAGCCAGATGATTTGAAAGTTTAGAAATGCTCTAAACAACTCCTGGGTCAGAGGGTAAATAAAATTCGCCTCAAGAGACGATTTTATAATTATATGGAAAGAGAAATTGCAGGTCCACGAAGCCAGATGGAGGAGGAGTTGGTGGAGAATTCACAACTTTAAATGCTTTTATTACTGAGCAAGAGAGACTGGAAATAAATGAACAAAATACTCGACACAGGAGGGAAAAACAACCATAAAGCAGATTCACGGGAGGCAGGAGAGGCGGGAATGAAGATAAAGGCAGAATTAATGAATTGGAAACAAGAAGAATGGGTGAGCCCATCAGTAAATCCAAGAGCCGGTTCTTCCCAATAAATAAATAAATAAAATAAGCAAGGCTCCAAGCATCTCATCAACAGAGCGGGGAAGCAAGGGAGCCCGGGACCGAGAGGGGATCAGAGCAGCCCAGGAGATTGAAAGTGACAGCTAATGCATTCGATATTCCTCACAAAACTGACCATTCTCCAAGAACATATACATTACCAGAATTAACTTAAAGAGGTTTTAAAAAAAAAATCTATATCCATAACTGCAGGAAAAGAGAAAAGGGGGCATGACTGGGGGGTCTGGCTACAGGACCTCACTTCCTGTTCAGCACCAACGCAGAACCCACCATTCAGGGCAATGAGGCTGTGGCTGGGGGAGCGCCCGGGGTTTCAGGGACACCCGGGAGGACCAGCAGAACACCAGGAGGGGCCCAGGGAGGGGCTCTCTGGCAGTGAGTAGCAGGTGGCAGAGGGAGTGCGGGGTTTGCAGCCTGTGAGGGAACCGGGGCCTCTTCACTGGCTGTCCGGGAAACTGGATTGGAGCCCACAGTGGACTCTGCCTGCCTGTGACCCTGACCTCGGGGTGTGGCAGGAGGTGTCTAAGCTGCTTCGTGCAAACAGGACTCCCCTGTATGGGGTCCAGTGGAGACAGGGCAGGGTGGGCAGGAGGGAAGAGGTCTCTGCTGAGGGCTCCTGTTACCCTCTGAGCTCCATCCCTGCCCCCACAACCCCTCCACACCCGTCCACACACACAGAGGAAAGCAGGGAAGGGGCAGAGTCAGCCCTGAGGTCTAATACAGCTCTCAGGGCCACCACCTCGGCCACCATGTTCAGCCATCAACCAGCAGCTCCCTCCCCTGTTCCCATCTGGTTTCACATCAAGATCATACGTGCCTGGGACATAATTTGGGCACGGTCTTTTTTTTCCATTCTCTGAACGGAATTATGAAAGGCTGGAATTTCCTCCCTTATGCATTTTGTGGAGGTTGTCTATAAAATCATCTGGGGGCCAGGCATGGTGGCTCACGCCTGTAATACCAGAACTTTGGGAGGCCAAGGTGGGTGGATCACCTGAGGTCAGGAGTTCAAGACCAGCCTGGCCAACATGGTGAAACCCCGTCTCTACTAAAAACACAAAAAAATTAGCCAGGCATGGTGGTGCGCGCCTGTAATCCCAGTTACTCGGGAGGCTGAGGCAGGGGAACTGCTTGAACCCAGGAGACAGAGATTGCAGTGAGTCAAGATCACACCACTGCACTCCAGCCTGGGCAACAAGAGAGAAACTCTGTCTCAAAAAAAAAAAAATAAAAAAATAAAATCATCTGGGGCTGAGGCTTTCTTTGCAGGAAGATTTTAAACTACTGTTTCATTCTGGTAAGTGGCTGCAGGACTATTTACAGGTTCTCTTTCTCCTTGAGTCAGTTTTTAGCAATTTTTTCCAGGAATTTGTCTGTTTCCTCTAAGTCATTCATAATATCCTCTATCTTTATAATCCAGACTGCATCTCTAGTTCTGCCTCTCTTTTCATTCCCAGTAGTATTTATTTGCTCATTCTCCCCTTTTCTCAATTAAGCTAAAAGACTTTTGCCAGTTATTTGGTCTCACAAAGAAAACCTTGTGGGTCTTCTCCGCTGTGGCTTTGTTGTCAGTTTCATTCATTTCTGGGTTTTGTTTTGTTTTTTTGAGACAGGGTCTCGCACTGTCATCCAGGCTGGAGTGGAGTAGTGTGATCTTGGCTCACTGCAGCCTCAACCTCCGGGACTCAAACAATCTTCCCACCTCAGCCTCCTAAGAAGCTGGTACTACAAGCATGAGCCACCACACCCAACTAATTTTTTTATTTTTAGTAGAGACGAGGTCTTGCTATGTTGCCCAGGCTGGTCCCAAACTCCTGAACTCAAGCAATCCTCCCCGCTGTTGGCCTTCCAAAGTGCTAGGACTGCAGGCGCCAGCCACTGTGCCCAGCTATTTTTCACTCCTATTTCTTCTAATACAGTCACTGAGGACTGTAAATTCCCTTCTACACACCACTTGGGATCTACTCCACAAGCACGGATCTGCCGCGCCCACTGCCAACGGTTCTAAGTCTTTTCTCACTTCCGTTGATTTCTTCTATAACCCATGAGTTACATCAAGTGCATTTTTGGAATTTCTGAAACACATGAGGTTTTGTTTGCTTTTTGGTATTGAGTTGTGGTCAGAAGATAGGACCTGTATAATACTAATTCTTTTTTTTTTTTTTTTTTTTTTTTTGAGATGGAGTCTTGCTCTGTCGCCCAGGCTGGAGTGCAGTGGCGCGATCTCGGCTCACTGCAAGCTCTGCCTTCTGGGTTCACACCATTCTCCTGCCTCAGCCTCCCGACTAGCTGGGACTACAGGCACCCGCCACCACGCCCGGCTAATTTTCTTTTTGTATTTTTAGTAGAGATGGGGTTTCACCTTGGTAGCCAGGATGGTCTCGATCTCCTGACCTCATGATCTGCCCACCTCAGCCTCCCAAAGTGCTGGGATTACAGGCGTGAGCCGCCACGCCCGGCCATGATACTAATTCTTTGAAATGTACTGGCATTTGCTTTCTGGCCTATAAATAGTCCATTTCTGATAGGCTCCATGTGTGCCTGAAACTAATGTGATTTCCCAGCTGGGTGAGCCCCATTCCATAGACACCCCTCCGCTCAAGCCCAGGAGCCAGCACCATCAAACCTCATGTATCCTTATTGTTTCCTTTTGAGTCTACTTGACCGATTAACCACCAAGAGGATTACGAGACCTCTGCCTAGGACGGGGGTTGTGAATTTCTCCTCGCAGTTGGCTGGGTTTTGCGGCAGTGCATTGCTTTGGGAAACAGCTAACTTTGTGGTGTTGCCCCGTTCACGGGAGATCCCGTCCGTCCTCGCGCTTCAAGCTTCCCGCTGTACGTGGACTCACTCCTGCGCTCTCCACCTGAGCCCACGGCCTCGGGCACCTGGCTCACTCGTCCCTCAGGGCCTTCACACTGGCTGTCCTGGGTGGAACTCACTTCCCCAGATCCCATGCCCTCACCTCCTGAGTCTAGAGCAGCAGCCAAGAATTGGCCAATCCACCTCTGTCAGAGGAGAAAGTGCGTGCCTGCCCAAGACCTGGGTTTTTCGGGTACAGAGGGGTCCGCGTCTGCGTCTGCCAGACCAGGCATCGGGAGGCCACGGGGCTAGCATGGGGCCCAGGGTCCTCAAGGGAGACCTCCCTCCCTCCACCCAAAGGCCAGCCAGGAGGAGAGCTGAAATTCCTGCTCTTGCTGGGGGGGGGTCCCATCTGCAGGGCTGGAACAGCGAAGGTGCCCCTCCAGTGTTACCCATGGCCCCAGCATCTGCCCCTCCTCCCCCCAGGGCACTGGCTGAGCTGCACATGCGGCGGCGAGCACGAGAACAAGGAGCTCCCGCTGCACCAGAGCACGGGCAGGCTCCTCTCCTGGTGAGGGCTGCCTGGTGAGGGCCACAACCGTCTGGGGCTGGGGAGTGCCTGGGCAGACAAGCTCTCGGCACAGGGAGGTCCGGGGCTCTCAGCTGGGCTGGGCTGCCATGCCTCCGGCACCCATGCTCGGGTGGGGGGTGGGGGCGGGGATGGCCAGAGAATAGGCCCAGGATAAGGAACAAAAAGTTAGACAAGCACGGGGCCTGTGACTGCAGGGGACTGGCTGGCTCTGAGGCCCTGGCACAGAGGCTGCCACCCCACGCTGCCAGGGAGGCTCCCAGCCAGGCCGTCCCCACCTCCCCGGGTCTTCAGAGGCTCTGGGCAGGGCTGGAGGGAACGGTTGGGGGTGAGGCCAGCCCTCGAGGGACAGAGGGAGCCTGGGGGAGGATGGAGACGTATTCAGGAGAAGACATAGGTGTGGATGCTCTGGGAAGGGTGGGGAAGCCATCCCTCTCTCATCCCCATATCCCTGCCCCACCTCGCCTCAGCCTCTTCCCCTCAGGAGCCCTCCACAGGGACAGGAGCCCTGCAGTGGGGAAGGCCCCAGGAGAGGGGGAGGGCTGGGGGCAGCCCGGCAGGGGTGGGCAGGGGTGGGCAGGGGTGGGCCACTGCAGCAGTGCTGGGGGCTAGGGGCAGGGAGGGGCCTGTCTGAAGGATCCCAGCCTTGGGACTGAGGAGTGGCCTCACAGGCCCCCAGCGCAGGAAGGGAGCTGTCCCAGGGTACCAGGCACAACCCCGGCCCTCCCACCATGTCTGCCCAGCCCAGTGGATCCCACACGGGCTGACCGCTGAGGTGGGTGCCCAAAGCAGGTCCCAGGGACCCAGGGGCTGCACTGTGCCTCAGGCCCCCCATTCCTCCCATCCACCTGTCCACGGCTCTGGGGTCACCCCAGAGGGCCCTGGGACCCCCTGCCTGTGGCTAGTCGAGGAAAGACCAAGTCCAGGCCCACCGTGGGTGACACAGCTGAGCAGCCCCCACCCCACCAGAACTTCCTGCAGCTTCAGCAGCAGCCTCTCTCCATCCCCAAGGGGCCAAGCATCCACACGAGGCAGCAGGCCAACCCCCAAGGCTGCCCCCGGCCTCAGGCAGGTGACCCTGCAGGGCCAACCAAGGGACTCAAATGCCCCTGGTGAGGGTCCTGGCCCCCCATTCCAGGAAACACGCAGACACGCCCAAGGGAAAATACAGCCCTGGGGACAAGCCCCAGGGGCCGGGCTGTGAGCTCACTCGCACACACACGCCACCCTGTGCTAGGCAGACAGGGGACCCAAGGGTGCCCTGAACCTTCCGTCTCAGTCTCCCCACCCGCAGAGGACACAGCAGGTCGGCACTGCAGAAGAACCGGCTGCACTGCCCCACCGAGGGCCCCACCAACCAGACACCCTACATCAAGGGCACCGAGGGGAATGGCCCTGGGCTCGGGCCTCAGGAGGAGCCTCCAGCCCCACTCACCAGCCAGCCGGAAAGGTTCTGCCCAGGAGAGCCAGAGGTTTGGGGAAGGAGGAGATGAGGTAGGGTAGGAGGTGAGAGAGGTGGGGAAGCCCTGGGGGAAGGTGGCAAGTCCAAGGGTTGCAGGCAGGACCAGACGCTCCGTCAAGGGAAGGGGAGTGTCGGAGGGGTGGGGGGCGGCTGGTGACTGCACACGTAAACCCCAGCTCACCCCACATCCCCTCGCTCCCACACACCCAGGCCAGGCTCAGAGCTGGTGAGGGGCCCCTGGGCTGGGGTGTGAGCAGTCAGTGGCCCCCCTCCTCCTGCCTGTCCTTGAAGGGGACTCAGGTAGCGAGAGTCAGCTGGGAACTGTTCTAGACTCCAGGTAACACAGTGGACAGATCTCCCAAACCTGGGTCACCATCCAGCGGGAGGGGACGCCGGGTGGACTCAGCGTAGAGAGTGACTGCAGGGAGGGGGCGAGGCCCCACCTGCCCCTGGGGCATCCAGGCCTTGGTGGGGACCTCGGGCCCCTCTGCAGCCACAGCGACACACCCTGCCTCATCTCTGACGCCCTCCCCGACCTGCAGCAGAGGGCCCTGTGGGACCCTGGCAGGCCTGACACCACCACCATGCCAGCCCCACAGCCCTGTCTCCCATTGCTGTCCAGATTGCCATGTCCTGCAGACCAGTGGCCGGTGCCCTGGAGGCCACTCCAGCCCCACAGCCAGCCTCTGACCTGAGGGACCCTGCCCTGTACTAAGTCATCTCAGAGCACCGCCCGCCCCACCCCAAATCCCAGCACCCTGGATGACTACGCAGGTGACTGTGGCTTTTGCTAAACCACCCGGAGCTGATCTCCACAAATTTAATCCAAAACACAACCTTCCTGTGCAGTCTGGCAACTGTGTCAAAGTCCAATGCCAGGGCCCTCCCTTCCCTTCACACGAGGCCAGGGGTGGCTCTGGGGAGCAGGTGACACTCTCTTGAGCCCCTGTTCTGTCAGTCCCAGCACAGGAGCCACCCAGGGCCTGCCAACGACAGGAGGGCTCCTGACCCCGGGCCAGCACAGCAGGAGAGTAGGCACTGCCCCAACGGAGGAGGGCAGAGCCTGGCCAGGAAGGGGGATCCCACTTGCTAAGGCCCCAAACTCCCCAGCGCCATCCCCCGTCTTGCAGGGCAGAGGCAGGAGGGTCACCCGAGAGCCAGAACCCCACTTTCACCCAAGCAGCTCGGCCTCAGGAAAGCTGATCCAACAAAACCACACCACTCGCCACCTTTGCCCACCTTTGATCTGTGGCCCATGTCAGTTAAGAAAGTGGCATTGATTAACTTCAATGACCTTTCATGAATTGTATTGAGAAAAAAACAAGAAAATTTCAAAAAAGTATTAATGTTTTCTTTTGCTATCGCAAACTCGAAACCCCTACGATTTTATTAAAAGTGCAAGAATGAAAAACAGGAAATCCCTTGCCTTGTCTGGTTCTGAGCCAGAGACCAGAGGCCTGAGGCGCAGCCAGGCCCACTTCAGATGGTGGAAACGAAAATTAATCAGAAGTCGTATGCACAAAGCAAAGGCCTTGTATTAAATTCACAGAGTGGGTGCTGACGGGTGCTGCCGGCAGGACAGCCTTCCCAGAGGTCTGGCACTACACCCCACCTGAAGGTGCAAGGGCCCTCCCAGGCCACGGGAAGCAGGGACTCATGGCACCTTGGTCTGCCCCAAAGGCCATCACTGCCACCGGTGGAAAACCAGGCGGCCACAAGCTGGCGGTTCACTGGCACGTGGGTGACAAGGTTCATGGGCACAGATGCCCATGCGCAAGCCCCAAGCACCGTGACCCGTCGGGAGGGGGGGACACACGGGGCCAGTGGGACTCTGACCACCAACGCCCGGGGTTTCCTAGCAACTAAAGCACACAAGGCGCCCTGCACAGCAGGCCTTTCGTGGGGAACACAGACGCATGTTAATCTGTTTGCAGATTCATGTTTAATAGAACGCCCTTCTGAAATGCATCCAAAATAGAGAAGCTTTCTCCCGAACTGCAAAAGCCATAAAAATGCAAAATGCTTCTTTAGGAAAAACTGAATCAAAATTACGCCTTAATGTTCCAAGCAACACGAAACCTACTCTGTGCCCCAGGGCAGGTGCCGGCAGCAGCCATGGCCCCGACCAGCTCACATGAAACCTAGTCTGTGCCCCAGGGCAGTGCAGGCGGCAGCCGTGGCCCCGACCAACTCACAGGAAACCTACTCTGTGCCCCAGGGCAGGTGCCGGTGGCAGCCATGGCCCCGACCAGCTCACAGGAAACCTACTCTGTGCCCCGGGGCAGGTGCAGGCGGCAGCCATGGCCCCGACCAGCTCACAGGAAACCTACTCTGTGCCCTGGGGCAGGTGCAGGCAGCAGCCATGGCCCCGACCAGCTCACAGGAAACCTAGTCTGTGCCCCAGGGCAGTGCAGGCGGCAGCCGTGGCCCCGACCAGCTCACAGGAAACCTACTCTGTGCCCCAGGGCAGGTGCCGGTGGCAGCCGTGGCCCCGACCAGCTCACAGGAAACCTACTCTGTGCCCCAGGGCAGGTGCCGGCGGCAGCCGTGGCCCCGACCAGCTCACAGGAAACCTACTCTGTGCCCCAGGGCAGGTGCCGGCGGCAGCCGTGGCCCCGACCAGCTCACAGGAAACCTACTCTGTGCCCCAGGGCAGGTGCCGGGCCGTGGCCCCGACCAGCTCACAGGAAACCTACTCTGTGCCCCAGGGCAGGTGCAGGCGGCAGCCATGGCCCCGACCAGCCCCCACCAGCCTCAGTTGTTCTCGATCTGCTCCAGGTCCAGCTCCCAGCGGGCCCGGGGGAAGACGCCCTCCTCCCCGACACTGTCCCCATCACGGGGGTCCCCGCTGCTCCTGCGGGAGCCATCACTGGTCACCGACTCCCTAGAGGCCCACAGGTTGGGGTGGACAGGGCTGGTCCTGAGGCCCCTCTGGCTGCAGCCAGGCATGGTGATGCCAGGGAGGCCCCGGGAGTCACATGGGGAGGACAGAACCGTCTTCACTGGGGTGTCATCCTCATCGTCATCTTCGTAATTGAGGGAGCAAAGGCTTTTTGAATTTTTTAAAGTCTGCAATAGAAAAGATACGGGCTTAAAGCATTTCTAGCAGATCACACAGGAGGCAGCATCCCACCAACCCATCGAGGGCTCGGTGTGCTGGGGCTCTGGCCATCCCCAAGACCACACAAAGCAGGGGCCTTGGTCCCCTGTACACCAGCCACAGCTCTCAGAGCCCCTTTCTCAGACCCTGCCCATGCCCGCCCCAGCCCAACCAGCTGGCCCCTCAGCTCTCCTCAGCCCCCGCCCAGCTGGTGTGGGCAGAGACGCACAGCCTGGCCCTGCCCAGACCCAACGGACCAGGTTGGTGGGCACCTGACACCTAAGCAAGCCCCAAGATGCCCAGGGCTCACAGGTGACAGCCTTATCCCAGTCTTGTCCTTGGCAGGTGGCCTGTCCAGAGAGGGTGCCTTGTGCCTCCACTTCTGACAACAGCCCCACCCAGGGCCGCTCTCAGCAAGCACCTCACAGCCACCTCTGAGGCCCTGTGGTGGCTCTGTCTCTCCTCCACCTGCCCCCATAAGGCCCCTGGAACCCCACCTCGTCGGTGTCCTCAGGGGCCCACCAGACGCAGCTCCCACCTTCTCTGTCCTTGCACCTCCTCCCCTAATAGTTACTCTAATAGAAACACATGCAAATCCTTCTCATCTCAAAATACGTGCGACAAACAGGTGCACACACAGGGGTCTCCCCTGGGCAAGGCCCGCCCTCATCCCAGGCGAGTAGCTTCCAGTACCCCCATGCCACGCCCAGGCCTGTCCACAGCAGGTCCCTGAGTGCCAGGCTCCGGCCCTCCCTCTGCCCTCCGGAGGTGCCGCCACCACCCCCTTCTCACTCTGCCCCCCGGCTATATCTCACTCAGTAGCCTCCCTTCCCAAGGCCTGTTAGGAATAGGGGGTCCCCCCAGGCTGCACCCCCCAACCAGAGCACTCTGAGCTGCAAACAGTCTCCATCCACCCAGGCGTGCTCTCTTGGGCGTCTCCAGGGCCCTGAGACCCAGCAGGTGTGTCCAGCTGGGGCACGAGTCCATGGCCACGACCAGGGCACCAGCCCCTCAGCACTCCCGGGCCCCCACCCCCCGCCACCTCCCAGTCCTTGCCTCAAGTCCCCCGTCTGTGGTGCCCAGCGCCGTCCATGCCACTCGTCCACTGCCACTGGGAGCAGCCTTCCTACCCAGCCCCACCTGCCGGGTCACCTCCAGGCCTCCTCAGGGTCAAGGCTCCCCTCCTCGACCACACCACGCTGGCTTCAGACGCCTCACCTCGTGGCTCAGGCTTGTGAGGGCACGTGGGTGCCACTGGCCACGCCTGCAGGGCACAGGGGCGCCATGATGCCGATGACAAGGCCACACTGACACAGCACCCTCGGCCACCTAAAGTTATGACCTAGAGCACAAGCTCACCAATTCCACAGGACCCAAGAAACTCCCCAAATCACCTTCGTCCAGAGCAAGGAAACACCCCACAGACGGGAACCTCAAACACTTCCTGGAAACACTTCCAGCGACTGATTTTTATAAAAGCACATGGCCCTCGGGGACAGAGCTCCTTTTTTCTAAGGATATTATTGGGCTCTAAAAGACAAATTGACGCCAGGCATGGTGGCTCACACCTGTAATCCCAGCACTTTGGGAGGCCGGGGCGGGCGGATCACGAGGTCAGGAGATCAAGACCATCCTGGCTAACACGGTGAAGCCCCGTCTCTACTAAAAATACAAAAAATTAACCAGGCGTGGTGGCGGGCGCCTGTAGTCCCAGCTACTCGGGAGGCTGAGGCAGGAGAATGGCGTGAACCCGGGAGGCGGAGCTTGCAGTGAGCCGAGATTGGGCCACTGCACTCCAGCCTGGGAGACAGAGTGAGACTCTGTCTCAAAAAAATAAATAAATAGACAAAAGACGAATTGACATATTTTCTGTCTTTGTGGTTCTACTATAAAAAGTGAATCACTGAGAAGTAAAATTCTAAAGAATAATTTTTTTTTTTTTTTTTGAGACAGGGTCTTGCTCTGTTTCCCAGGCTGGAGTGCAGAGGTGCAATCATAGCTCACTGCAGCCTCGACCTCCCGGGCTCAAGCAATTCTCCCACCTCAGCCTCTCAAGTGGCTGAGACAACAGGTACATACCATCATGCCGGTCTAATTTTTGTATTTTCTGTAGCGATGGGGTCTCGCTTTGTTGACCAGGCTGGTCTCAAACTCCTGGGCTCAAACAATCCTCCCGCCTCAGCCTCCCAAAGTGCTGGGATTACAAGCATGAGCCACCACGCCCAGCCCCACTCAAATCTTTAAAGATACAACTGGCCACATGTTTTGGTCACAAAATAGGGATGCATAACTTATTTTTCATTCAAATCAAAGTGAATTTGCCCATGGACATCACTTGTCCGTACAAGCCCCAGGCCCGGCATGAGGATGTGGCTGGTCTGCTGGGCCCCTGCTGGATGGCGTGGAGGTCCGGGTCTCACCAGCTCGGTCTGGTGTCACCCGTGACCTTGCAGACTCTGGCTGCCGTGCTGCCCACACAGGATGGCCTCCAATCCACAGCACCACCAGGCTGCACTACACACGCACCGGGGTGGCGGGGACGCTACGCACCTTCAGGGGCCAGGTTTCCTTCCATTTCAAACCACGGCGTTTTGTTTTCATTCAGAGTCGACCCTCTGGACTGACTGCTCGGACCCGACAGATGCTGTAAGCTCACGCCGAGGCCTCGGACGCGGGACTCGCACTCGCGGGCACAGCTGTGCGGCTAGAGCGTGAAAACAGCAGGCTCTGAACGCCTCTGGACGACACAGTCGGTGCAGGAGAAAAAACTTCTGCCCACAGACACGGCAGCTGTACAGCTCAGCGCCCAACAGCGCTAGCGAAGGCCACACGGAACTGAAGGGGCCACCCACGCTGTAGAGACGGTGGAAACCGAGGCCCACGGGGCCGATGCTGGCCTGGACTGCGCCACCCATCCGCCTCGCGCCCCCTGTCCCTGGGCGCCAGCCCCGGGGCTCCGTCCCAGCTCCTGCTACCATCACTCTGGTTGGATGGTCACTTCCATCTGAGGTTAAACACAAAACAGTTGTCCAAAACACAAAGGTCAAGCCTTCAAGTTCCAAATTGGGCTCCAAAGCGCAGAGGCCTTTCAAACTGTGTGCGAAGCCCTCCAGGCAGTCTGGGGGGTGCACGGACCCCAGCTGACAGCTGGAGGGCCTCCAGCACCTGAGGTGGGTTAACTCAGCTACCGGAAGCCGGTGAGACCCTGGAAGGTCAGGGAAGCCTCCTACGAGCTGACCTGACGTCACTCAGCAAACGTCCAGGGCCCTGTCTCAGCCACATCTGTACCTGCCCCTTGCCAAAGCCTCTGGCTTTTGTCAAACTAAAACACGGGTTTACTCTCTTGAGAAAGCGCAAGCTCCATCCACCATGTGGGAGGGGCTCACAGGGTCCCCTCACAGCCAAGGCGGCCCTGGCCGTGGGCCGCTCTGCAGCAGGGCCAGGCAGCAGTCAAGGGTGGGGGGTGCTCCCCAAGGGCCTGGCAGTGCCTGGAGCGCAGCACAGTGCATGTTGAAACAGGCAGCCAAGCAGAGCCAAGCACCTCCCTCCTGCCACAGGGAGGCACAGGCCGGCCAAGCCACAGAGGCCCACAGGGCGCAGGGATGTCCATGGCACAGGCAGGGACAGAGATGGCCAGAGCAAGCTCCGTGCGTGTGTCAGGCGAGGAGGCCAGTGTGAGAAGCACCGGGACCCTAGACCCCTTGTTGCCTCTGGTGAGCGCCCTCCCAACCCTGCAGAAGAGAGGGTTATTAGGAAAGTACGGACTGGAGCATTCTAGACAGGGGAGCTGGCCGACGGCACATGAAAAAACTGGCTGAGTGAGCCCTGCTCAGACAACCTGCTCGGGCTGTGAGGGGCACACAGCCTTACAAAGCCAGGAAGCTGGAGAACAAAGATCCTCCCTGTCTCCCCAGCCCTCCACACAGAGGCAGAAGGAGGGGACTCTCCGCCCTGACCGTGCAGCCACTGATGGCACCGGCTCCTCATCCCAAGGGGGATGGGACAGCCAGTGCCCATCAGGAGGTATGGAGTGAGTGCCCAGCAGTGCGCCCCCTGCCCAGCACTCGCTTCTGCCACCTCACTCACCACCTCTGACCACCCTGGGCATGGCTCCTGGAGAGAAGGTCTGAGAAAACAAGCAAGAAAAATCAGCAGCTACAAATTCCAGATTTTCGGTCTGCGCCGTCTCAAACATTCCATGTTCTTGATGGTCCCTGCTACAGTTTGAACGTATACCTCCAAATCTCTACCATGGTGTTGGGAGTTGATCAGGTCCTGCGGGCCTGCACAAGACACGAGAGCCTCATAAAGGGCTGGAGGGAACCAGCCTCAGTCCTCCGCGTCCTCTATCTCCTCCGCCAGGTGAGGACACAGCCACAAGAGGCCATCTTGGAAGCAGAGGGCAGGCTCTCACCATACACCAGACTTGCTGGGGCCTGGGTCTTGGGCTCCCAGCCTCCAGAACTCTTTTTTTTTTTTTGAGACGGAGTCTTGCTCTGTCGCCCAGGTTGGAGTGCAGTGGCGCGGTCTCGGCTCACTGCAACCTCCGCCTCCCGGGTTCAGGCCATTCTCCTGCCTCAGCCTCCCAAGTAGCTGGGAATACAGGCGTCCGCCACCATGCCGGCTAATTTTTTGTATTTTTAGTAGAGACAGGGTTTCACTGTGTTAGCCAGGATGGTCTCGATCTCCTGACCTCATGATCTGCCCACCTCGGCCTCCCAAAGTGCTGGGATTACAGGCGTGAGCCACTGTGCCCAGCCCAGAACTCTTGAGAAATACATTTCTCTTATTTATAAGTGACGTCGTCGGGGGTATTTTGTTACAGCAGCAAAAACAAACTAAGTCAGTCCTTTTCTTGGTACCAGGAGCTGCTCAAAGCTTTTGGTTTTTCAATTTTCACCCAGGAGGCACAGAGAAAACAGCTCAGCAGGTGCAGCAGAGGCCCCCCCATGGAGGACAAGCCTTGCGCTCTCGTGACTGAGGCCGCGGAAGGCACCATCTGCTCACTAAACCCAAGACCTCCAAAAACGCAGCGGGCCTGAAGGTGTGAACACGGCCACATGCACCTCTAGCTTGTCCTTAGGTTCTAGCCCATGATGTAACTGCTGGCCCCAAAGCTGCCTGCCTGTCTGAAGAACTCCTCAGGCTCTGGGTGACCCAGCTGCAGGGCCACATAGGAAGCTGTTTCTTTCTCTGCAGCAGCCTCGGTCTCTCCAGAGGCAGCTGAGCGCCTTCTCTACGTGGCAAAAGCTTTTCAAAGCCCTAAAAGCACACGCTTTTATAGAAACCAGCAGCTGCTTCCACACTCTGCTGGAACCATAACTGATGTGCATATTTTCAATGGTCATATTTTAATTTCAACTTTGAAACATAGCTTTGCCAATAAAAACAGAAAAAGTAGCTTCGCCAGTAAAAGCCGGGCATGGTGGCT
The DNA here is from genome assembly GCF_000001405.40 of Homo sapiens. Lineage (NCBI taxonomy): Eukaryota > Metazoa > Chordata > Mammalia > Primates > Hominidae > Homo > Homo sapiens. The sequence continues at coordinate 221,969 of NW_021159990.1, forward strand.
TATGCCTGTAATCCCAGCACTTTGGGAGGCTGAGGTGGGTGGATTTCCTGAGGTCTAGAGTTCGAGACCAGCATGGCCAACATAGTGAAACCCCCTCTCTACTAAAAATACAAAAAATTAGCCAGGCATGGTGGCAGGCACCTGTAATCCCAGCTACTCAGGAGACTGAGGCAGAGAATCGCTTGAACCTGGGAGGCAGAGGTTGCAGTTAGCCGAGATGGCACCATTGCACTCCAGCCCGGGTGACAGAGCGAGACTCCATCTCGGGAAAAAAAAAAAAAAAGCAGAAAATCCTAAATGTTTTCCTAGGAAAACATGCACTGTTTCCAAGGGAAAGGCAGGGAAGGCAGTGCCCCTGCACCCTGCTCAGAGAGCAGCCCTCTGACACCTGGGGAAGCTGGTGTGAGCCTAGACTCAGAGCAGACAGCAGGGGGTGGCGGGGGGTTGAGGATGATCGCCGAACGGTCCCACTGATAAGCCCCGACATAGGAGCCCTGCAGGGTGAACACAGTTGCGCACGCAGACTGCACAACACACGCCAGGGACGCCGGACTAGAGCTGGGCTGCGCATACCGAGTCCGCCAGGTGCAAGCACAGCACAGCCGGGGTGCGGATGTGAGCGAGCGTGAGCATGCAGCGGTGCACATGAGTGGGAGTGTGCACATGAGTGGGAGTGTGCACCTGAGTGTGCACATAAGCGTGGGGGTGAGTGTGCATGGTGGGTATGTGTGTGTGCCCACCCAGAGTCAGGACTAATTGTCCGGTAACACACAATTATAAAAGTTGTAGAGGAAAATCAGAGCATTTCTTTTTGGCCCTGAGGTGGAGAGGAGCTTGACACAAACAGGAAGTGGCAAAGCCTGGGCCTGGTGGCGCACGCCTGCAATCCCAGCACTTTGGGAGGTGAGGCAGGAAGATGGCTTGAGCCCAGGAATTTGAGACCAACTTGGACAACATAGTAAGGCTCTGTCTCTTAAAAAATTGAGAATATTAGCTGGGCACAGGAGTGTGCACCTGTGGTCCCAGCTACTTAGGAGGCTGAGGTGGGAGGATCACCTGGGTCCAGGAGATGGAGACTGCAGTGAGCTGTGATTATACCACTACACTCCAGCCAGGGCAACAGAGAGAGAGACCCTGTCTCCAAAAAACAAAACAAAACCAGGAACTGACAGGTAACCCAGGCTGGGGGCCAAGTGTTCACCAAAGGTGCCACATATTCAGGTGATGCGGTGCAGGCAGGGGTAGGTGGGTGTGGGTGAAGACTGGTTGGCTGACAGGGAGAGGGGCACACAGACGGCAGATGAGGGACACAGAGAAAGGTGGGAGCCAGTTTTTGGGTGGGATGAGCAAAGAGCTGGAAAGAGGGAGAGCAGGCAGCCCTGGCCCCTCAGGAGTCTTGGCACTGTCCTCTGCAGCCGCGGTCAGGAGGGCTCTGGGTTTGCAGACGTGGCCCCTGAAGACACTGCCTGTCTCCTCAGGGGCTTTCCTGACATTTGATGAGGCCCTCTCCCCACAAACCTTTTTACCAGAAAGCGATGACTACGGTCACACTGAAGACACTCGTGAGCAAGCAGACCAAAGCGGCTGAATTTAAGGCAATGCACACTTCAGGGCGGGCAGGTATTACCTGGCCCCCACATGAAGCAAATAAACGAAAAGCTTTTATTTCAGGTGAGGTTGAGTCCCAGGAGCAGAATGGGGTGTGCAGCACCCACATCACTGTTCTGGCTCATTAACAAAGTCACTGAAGAAAACGGGGCAAGCCGGGAGTGGTGGCTCACGCCTGTAATCCCAGCACTTTGTGAGGCCAAGGCAGGCGGATTACCTGAGGCCAAGAGTTCAAGACCAGCCTGGCCAATATGGTGAAACCCCATCTCTACTAAAAATACAAAAATTAGCCAGGTGTGGTGGTGGGCGCCTACAATCCCAGACACTTGGGAAGCTGACGCAGGAGAATCTCTGGAATCTGGGAGGCAGAGGTTGCACTGAGCTGAGATCATGCCACTGCAGTCCAGCGTGGGCAACAAGAGCAAAACAGAAAGGGAAAGGGAAGAGGAAGGGGAAGGGGAAGGGGAAAGGGAAGGGGAAAGGGAAGGGGAAAGGGAAAGGGAAGGGGAAGGGGAAGGGGAAAGGGAAAGGGAAGGGGAAGGGGAAGAGGAGGGGAGGAAAGAAAAGGAAAGAGAAAGAAAGAAGGAAACAAGGGAACAAAGAAAGCTCTGCACCTGCCTATCCTCTCTGTAAGCCCCCTACCTGTCTGTGGCCAACCAAAGTCCAGCACAAGGGGTGGGAGGCACCAGAGCCAGCATCAATGCTAACACCATTCCACAAGCACCGTTTCTGACCGACACTCCTTACGGAGAAGAGCGGTTTTGAAATCACTCCCTTCAAAAAGTGGAGCCCGATCCTCCTCCCACTGAGTAAGGGCTAGACAGAGTTAAGGAGCAGACGAAATCTCAGCTGGTGAGGACCAGGTCACACAGGGCTCTGTGGGGCCCGCTCATGCCCACTGGGGTCACTCATTATGGGAAATCAAGCTGCCACATCGTGAACACACTCAGGCTGCCCCTCAGGGAGGCCCATGTGGCAAAGAAATGAGGCCTCCTGCCAAAAGCCACATGGGTGAACTTAGAAGCAGGTCCTGCAGCCCCAGTCAAGCCTCCAGGTAACCACAACCTGGCTGACTGAGCTCCAAGGAGGCCTGAGCAGAGCCTCCCCATCGGCCTCCGGGACCCCTGAGGTGGCTCAGGCATGGTGTTTGTGAGGTGGCTCAGGTGTGGTGTTTGACAGTGAGGTGGCACAGGCGTGGTGTTTGTGAGGTGGCACAGGCGTGGCGTTTGACTGTGAGGTGGCACAGGCGTGGCGTTTGACTGTGAGGTGGCACAGGCGTGGCGTTTGACTGTGAGGTGGCACAGGCGTGGCGTTTGACTGTGAGGTGGCACAGGCGTGGCGTTTGACTGTGAGGTGGCACAGGCGTGGCGTTTGACTGTGAGGTGGCACAGGCGTGGTGTTTGTGAGGTGGCACAGGCGTGGCGTTTGACTGTGAGGTGGCACAGTCATGGTGTTTGACTGTGAGGTGGCACAGGCGTGGTGTTTGTGAGGTGGCACAGGCGTGGCGTTTGACTGTGAGGTGGCACAGGCGTGACATTTGACTGTGAGGTGGCACAGGCGTGGCGTTTGACTGTGAGGTGGCAAAGGCGTGGCGTTTGACTGTGAGGTGGCACAGGCGTGGTGTTTGTGAGGTGGCACAGGCATAGTGTTTGACTGTGAGGTGGCACAGGCGTGGTGTTTGACTGTGAGGTGGCACAGGTGTGGTGTTTGTGAGGTGGCATAGGCGTGGTGTTTGACTGTGAGGTGGCACAGGTGTGGTGTTTGACTGTGAGGTGGCACAGGCGTGGTGGTTTTTGGTTTTGATTTTGGTTTTTTCTGTTGTTTTTGTTTTTGTTTTGAGACAGAGTCTCACTCTGTCGCCCAGGCTGGAGTGCAGTGGCGTGATCTCAGTTCACCGCAACCTCCGCCTCCAGGTTCAAGCGATTCTCCTGACTCAGCCTCCCAAGTAGCTAGGACTACAGGCGCCCACCATCATGCCCAGCAAATTTTTGTATTTTTAGTAGAGGCGGGGTTTCACCATGTTGGCCAGGCTGGTCTCGAACTCCTGACCTCAAATGATCCACCCGCCTCAGCCTCCCAAGGTGCTGGGATTACAGGCGTGAGCCAGTACACCCGGCGGGTTTTGTTTTTTTTTTAACACAGGTGTGAAGTTTGAAGCTGCTGGATTCAGGCTTGCTTGTCCCAAGAAGAGGACTAGGACAGTGCTCACGCATCTTCATTGCAGAGAATTCACTCGGGCATTGATATCAAGATTGAGCTGGCTAGATGCAGTGGCTCACGCCTGTAATCCCAGCACTTTGGGAGGCCGAGGCGGGTGGATCACGAGGTGAGGAGTTCGAGACCAGCCTGGCCAACGTGGTGAAACCCCGTCTGTACTAAAAATACAAAAATTAGCTGGGCGTGATGGTGGGCACCTATAATCCCAGCTACTCGGGAAGCTGAGGCAGGAGAATCCCTTGGACCCAGGAGGCAGAGGTTGCAGTGAGCCAAGATCACACCATTGTTCCATTGCTCACCAGCCTGGGACAGAGCGAGACTCCATCTCGAAAAAAAAAAAAAAAAATTAAGAGAGGGCCGGGCACGGTGGCTCACATCTGTAATCCCAGCAATTTGGGAGGCCGAGGCAGGCGGATCACCTGAGGTCAGAAGTTCAAGACCAGCCTGGACAACATGGTAAAATCCTATCTCTATTAAAAATACAAATATTAGCCAAGCGTGGTGGTGCATGCCTGCAACCCCAGCTACTCGGGAGGCTGAGGCAGGAGAATTGCTTGAGTCCGGGAAGTGGAGGTTGCAGTGACCGGAGATCGTGCCACTGCATTCCAGCCTGGGCAAAAAGAGCGAAATTCTGTCTTAAAAAAAAAAAAAAAGATGGAGATTAGAGGCAACAAAGCCAACTAGGATGATGTCTCAGTAGCCGAAGAGGGTATCAAGGCCTGAGGCAGAATAACCGGGGTCAAGAGGAAGGAGGACTGAATCACAGAAACATCCAGAGGACGGGACACCAGCCTGGGTGACCAGCGCTTGCATGGACAGGGACACGCAGGCTCAGCAAGGGACCCAAAGCTGGGGACAGGGACACACAGGCTCAGCAAGGGACCCAAAGCCGGGGACAGGGACACGCAGGCTCAGCAAGGGACCCAAAGCCGGGGCTGCATGGATCTGAGGGATGGATGCCCCGCGCAGCCCCAGTCCTAGGGGTCACGGCTCCAGTTCCCACACAGCGGGGGTTTCTCCTCCCAGAGAGAAACCAGGCACCCACCTATGCATCAGACACACACACACACCATGCACGCACACACCACACGCACACCTCACACACACACCACACACGTCACACACACACCACACACGCCACACACACACCACACACGCCACACACACACCACATACACCAGTCACACACACATCACACATACCATACACACCAGACACACACACGCCACACACACCTCATACACCACACACACCACACGTCACACACACACCCCACACGCCACACACACCATACACGCCACACACACCACACATGCCACACACACCACACACACTAGTCGCACACACACCACACACACCACACGCCAGACACCGCATACACCAGACACACACATGCCACACACACACAAACACCACACACGTCACACACACCATACACACACGCTATACACACACCACACGTCACACGCACAACACACACAACACACATCACATGCACACCACACACACCAGACACACACACGCCACATACACACCACACATCACACACACACCACCCACCCCACACACACGACACACATCACACATACCACACACGTCACAAACACACCACACATTCCACACACCATATACTCTACCATACACACAGGCCACACCACACATTACCACACACACACCACACACAGGCCACACATCACACACACCACACATCACTCACCACACACACACACACCAGACACACCCACCAGACATATCCAATACACCACATATACACCACACCACACATACCACAGACCACACACCACACACAGAACACACACCACACACACTACCAGAGACCACACACTGCACACACACACCACACACAGACTACACACCACACAGCACACACCAAACACACCACACACGTCACACACACACCACATACTACCCACCACACACCACACGCTACACACCACACAGCACACACACCACACACCAAACACCACACATACCACAGACACCACACACTACACACCAGACAGCACTCACCACACACACCCCCACCACACACATACCACACAGACCACGCATACACTACACCACATACACACAACACACATCCCACACACACATCACACACCACACACACTACACACACACAACACATAGACCACACACCACCCATAGACGTCACATACACATCACACACCACATACACCACACAGAGCACACACTACACACACCACACAGCACATAGCACGTGTGCCACACACACACCACACAGCATTTGACGGCAGCCCTGCCCTTCTCCCACCCATCTCCCCAACACACCACACACCCGGGTGTCCATGAGCCCTGGTCCTGGGTCTGGCGAGTCCTTGCCTCTACCCACACCTCACACTCTACCGGGGGTACCCCATGTCCACACTGAGCCCCATGCAGCCTCGATCACCAACTCACCCAACCACCTGGTCTGTCTCCCAAGGCATCTGAGAAACCCAGGGCCGCTCTACATTAGGACTGTTGTCTGGTCATCAATACGTCGCTGGCACCATCATTCCCCGCCCCACAACGTGCTGAGCCGGCAGCTCCCTCCTCTGCTCCCATCCCTCCTGGTCCCCGTGGGGCCTGACACCCACGCCATGCACACCCCAAGCCCTGGCAAGCAGGGACAGCCTGCTTGTGCTATGTCCAAAGCTTGCCACCAGCTTTCCAGCATTTACTGGCTTCCCCAGGTCAGCCCATCTCATAGCAAAAGATCAGAGCCTTCTCTAAACCCTGCTCTCTGCAGAAAAGTTTCATAGCAGGGAAGTCTGGGTTTTCAACTCACCTCAAGCCCCCCGGAAGAATCAACTGGAGAGCCCACTGATCAGAAGAGGCAAAGCTCACGGTGCCCTCAGCGTGGCCTAGGACTAGCGTCCTGGAGGACCCTGGGGGATCCCACCTGGCACGCCGGCCACACTGCTCTCCAGCTCTGGGCTGTGGCCAGGTCGAGGAGGACCTGGGCCATCTGTGCCCCTTCTCCAGTCACTGTCCCCACAGGATGCCCAGGCCCAGCCCACCCGAGCAAGACAGTGCAGCCACACTATGGACAGCTCCACCCACATCTACAGCCCCCAGAGGCAGGGCATGGGCAAGCCTGTGGCCCGGAGGATGGGGCTGGGGATGAGAGTTCAGGGGGCTGCCAAGGCCACAGGTCATTGAGGAGACAGGCTGACACTGATCCCGCCCCACCCTAGCCACAGCCCCACTCGGCCCTGGCTGGTACTCAGTTGGCATCGGGAAGTCCTGTTAATTTCTGCCACTGCCCAAAGCTTCCCCGACACAGATGACCCAGTGAGTGTGCACACAGCCCACCCTACTCTGTCACGGCTCTGCCATCTCCCTCCCCGAGCGCTGCCGGGCCCCCAGAGGTCTCTGGTGAATGCACTCCCTTAGTAACACAGAGCAAGACCTGGGAAAGCCTCCTCAGTCCTGTTTCCTTCCTTAACTCTGTGCCAACCACGGCCTGTGACGGGGGTGTGGAGAGGTGGGTGGCACTGAGAATCTTCAAGTGGGTGAAGGCTCTCTCCTACATCCAGACAGTTTCTGCAGGAGGTGCCTGTACAGTCCCAAAGCGCACAGGCGCTGCTGGGCTCTGAGCTGCAACATGCACACCCACCAGCTCCCACAAGAGAGGACCCCGGGCTCTGCCTCGAATGGGGCTCCCAGGACAGCTTGTTACTTCCTGAGCCATCACCAGAAAAAGTCAGGGGACTCCCCAGCAGCTGAGGCGGGGGGCGGCTCAGCCAGGCCAGAAACCCACAGCTCCGTTCTGCTGCCTCCCCCAGGCCTCACTGCAAGCCTGGCCGGCCACCCTGGGCCGTGTGTGGGGCTCTGCCTCTGCGGGAGCAGGCGGGGTGAGCTGGGTGCTCTGACACCAGGACAGGCCCCCGATCGCTCCCACGCACTCCAGATGGCTCTCCTCACTCCTTTCCTCCCAGCCCAGAGAAGACCAGCCGGATGCTAACAGCCACATCCAGAGAATCAGCCAGCCTCACCCCAGCACCGCCCTGTCCAGATCTACGCCCCTCTGAGCCCCTGGAAATAAGAAAGCCTCACCTGGGTCATTTTCAGGAAGTCCAAGGATGGGCGTGTCCACCTGGCGTCCTCCTCACGCCTCCGTTTGCGCCGGCTCCTCTTCCCACTGAGCACGCAAGGCTGTGAGCGGCACCGGAGCAGCCCACGGCGCCCGCCCAGCGCAGGCGTGGACGTGGGGCTGCTGCTGGCCCAGGGCAGGGGAGTGCCCGCACCCGCGAGTCGCTCCTGTGAGAGGGACGGGCGGCGCCTCGTGGAGGGCAAGCAGGACTCCGCGGAACACCAGAGCGGGCCTGAGCCCGCACTGCCCTCGCTGCTGTCCACGAAGCCGCCGCTGGCGGAGGACGGCCGGGGCGTGGCGGGCGAGGTGGGACCGGTCGACCACACAGCACTCCTCGGCAGGACGGCGCCGGGGCTTCCCTGCCGCGTGGCACTCCCGCCGCTGTCGCACCGCCTCTTGGAGACTGGAGTCCAGACCTTGGAGCTGCCGGGGCGCCAGGGGGACCGGCAGCGCACAAGCTCCTCGGGTTCTGACAAGGACCGGCAATGCCGCTTGGTCGGTGGGGCCGTGGACGAGCCTGTGCTTTCACTGGGGTCCACGGTGCTGGCTGCACCCAGGCCTGCGCCTGGGCGCGGGGACTGTGGCTGCCACTGAAGACCCATGGTGTGAGCGGCAGCAGACAGGCCCGGCAGGAAGGAGAAATCAGGGCCCGTGGCTGCCTGGCTTCTGACGGGCGGTCCTCCACTGAAGACCTTCCAGGGACTCTGGTCTACAAAAAAAGACACAAAGAGGCAGGGGAAGAGACAGGTGAGCCACAGGGCAGGCGACATCCATCCCGGCAAACAGCCTGGCAGAGCTGTCAAGGGCACAACCCCATCGCCGCCACCCCTGGGCGTGCTTCTCCAAGATGTCCGTGGCGCACAGTGGACACCAGCCCCGCCTGCCCTTGCTGGGTTAGCTGCGGGGCTCGGCTCACTTCTTAAAGGGGACACCGTGTCTGAAGGAGGTGTCAGCCTCCCCACCGGTGCCTCCCTGAGAACAACCGCACGGCTCTGCTCTCCCGACAGCTTTGCTAAAACATTCTTCCCGCATCCTCAAAATGCCCCTCTCCCTCTGTGACCAGGCATCTCAAGGATGTGCGGCTACCCCGGCCAGGACTCTCCAGGGCCCCTTCTTAAAGCAGCTCAGGTCCCTTAGTAACATGGGCAACACAGGGTCACACCTGCTGCCACGGTCTTCAGGGAGAGTCTGAGCCCCAGAAACTCCTCACAAACCTCAGAGCCACCAGGTCCAGGCCTGGAGCCCCTTCCCAAGTCTCACTTCCTGCACAACTGTCCTGGGGTTGCCTGTCTAACGCGCTCCCCAGCCCACTGCCTGCTGGTTCGGAGAAGCCTGGAGAGCAAGGCCAGGTGCATGGGCCTGGCATGGAGTCTGCCCAGTGGCTTGTGCAGTCACTGTCCAGCTGAGGAACTTGGAGTGGAGGCTGTGAGACCTGCCTCTGGGGAAAGGCCCTGGGATGACCTTGGGGTGACTGGGAGAGAGATGGGGGCTGTGGGGAGGAGACGTGGAGGTGTAGGCAGGGAGAGCGGCCGGCTGGGTGAGGAGTGTAGGAAGCGCTGCGGGGCTCTGAGCCAGGATGGAGGTGGCTGGTCTGACCCCGTGTGCAGGATGAACCCCAGGAGGCTGAGGTGAGGACATCGCACCACAGGCCCGGCAGGGGGTGGGGCTCTGGCCAGCTGGGGCCTCACACATGCTACTTCCATCTACTCATGAAAGAATCTGGTAAAACACCTTCACTTTGGTCATCTGGCGCTCAGCAAGGTGAGCCTCCTAACGGGCCCACTCTGCGTGACACAGGGCGCTGGGCGTGTCACAGTCAGGTAAGCAGGGCCAACAGAGGGAGATGCCCCTGGGACCTTCGCTGGGGGAGGACCTGGGACCCCAGGGTTACCTGGCCCGTGAACACCAGCCAGCCTCCATACTCGGGGCACCTGCTCTCCATCAATGAAGGGCCCACCTGCGGGTGAACCAGGCACAGCCACACCCTCCACTGCACGGACAGTGGGTGGGCCGCCCAGTATGCCATGGCACGCTCCAGCTGACGCTACAAGCCCTGCCAGCCACGCCGTCCTCTTCTTTTCGTGGCCACAGGGTGGGCCTTGCACCTTCCAGAAAGGGCGCAGCAGACCCCTGGGCCCCACCAGCTGAGGAGGGAGAGACCTGGCTGGGCCCGCACCCTACACGAGCCGTCCTGCTCACAGACCACTCTTGACCACGGGCCCAGCCGTTGGAGGACGGCAGCAGGGACCACCCCACGCCCCAGTGCAGGGCACACGAACACCTTCCTGGGCTTCTGCAGATCCGGCTCATGTTCTGCGTCCAGGACCCTCCCAGCCCAGGAGCCCAGTCCCAGCCCTGCTCAGGCCTCCGGCCACAGCTCCTAAAGTGCTCACCGTTGAGCTCCAAAGGGAACAGACGACCGCTCTTGTTCAGGGTTTCCGCAGAATACTGCAACTGACAGGAAAGAGAAGTTTCAATACTGTGACTGACACGTGAGAATTCGGCAATAATATCCCCCATTTTCATCACTGCAGCACGTTCTACCTTTCCCCAGTGTTTTCTTTCTAGTGATTAAAATAAGCACAGTTTTATTAAAACCTAACAAAATTCAACTGAGTAAATGGACAATTTTTTATTTTTTTAGATGGAGTCTCGCACAGTCACCCAGGCTGGAGTGCAGTGGCGCGATCTCGGCTCACTGCAAGCTCCGCCTCTCGGGTTCACGCCATTCTCCTGCCTCAGCCTCCCAAGTAGCTGGGACTACAGGCGCCCACCACCACGCCCGGTTAATTTTTTTTGTATTTTTAGTAGAGACAGGGTTTCACCGTGTTAGCCAGGACGGTCTCCATCTCCTGACCTCGTGATCCGCCCGCCTCAGCCTCCTAAAGTGCTGGAATTACAGGCATGAGCCACCACGCCCGGCTGTAAACGGACATTTTTAAATTTTTTAAAAAATTTTTTCTGTTTTTAAAAGAGCTGTTAACACTAAGCAGACTTTTTTTTTGTCTGTTTTTGAGACAGAGTCTCGCTCTGTTGCTCAGACTGGAGTGCAGTGGTGCTATCTCTGCTTACTACAAGCTCTGCCTCCCGGGTTCACGCCATTCTCCTGTCTCAGCCTCCCGAGTAGCTGGGACTACAGAAAGCTGCCACCACGCCCAGCTAATTTTGTTTTTTTAAATATATTTTTCGTAGAGACAGGGTTTCACCGTGTCAGCCAGGATGGTCTCGATCTCTTCACCTCGTGATCTTCCCGCCTCAGCCTCACAAAGTGCTGGAATTACAGGTGTGAGCCACCACGCCCGGCCTCAGACATTTTTATTCCAAGCCACAGGCATGCATCCTGTCCCTGCTCCTGAAGCTCAGGCCCTCCTGCCTTTCGGCAGCCTCAGCTGCAGCCGTCTTTGCAAACCTCACCACTTACTTACTTTTCAGCAAGAACTTCAGCCAAGACCCAAGGGGCCCTTTCCCACCTGCAACAGCTCAGACACGGGACCTGAGCGCCTAAGCCAGGCTCTGGAGTGTGGTGCTGGTCCAGGGAGACGTCCAGAGGGCAGGGTCTCCCTCCCTGGAAGCAGGAAAGCCACAGGGCGTGGTGGCAGCTGGAGGGTCTATAGGGAGGGCACTAAGGGAAATGCCACAGGGCTCTCTTCCCTACCCCATGAAGTGTCAGGGAGCTGCTTGGCAGGTCACGGCTTGGAGGCCATTAATGTGTCTGCTTCCACGCACTGGCCCGTGCAGGCGGGACACAGGGCCCTGCAGAGGATGGGGCACAGGAGGGGGGTCCTGCCGGGTGCCCGGCAAGCTCCCTAACCTCCCAGAGCTTCCTCGTCTGTGAGAACACAGAAGGCCACCCTGTGACAAGGACACGGCTGTCCCGCAGGGTCCGGGCACAGCAGCCCCTCTGCTTTTTTGCCTTAGAGTTGTGGGGCTCCTCTGCCACACCTCAGAACCTCTCAGTTAACGCCTAAGCCCATGGCATCACGTCCTATGATAACATTTCCAAACACGATAAAATTAAAAGGAAATCCTTCACTGCTTCCTGTAAAGGGAATAAGTTAAAAGTTGGGTTTGTGACCCCGAAAAAAGACAGGCCGCCTACACACGGGGTCCCACCTCAGCCAGCACGGCGGTGTGGAGCTGTGAGCACCCGGCCACACCATGAGGACAGGGCCTGGTGCGGGCCCGGGAACCACACGACCTCCAGGTTCTCCCACCCCGGGACCCGGGTCCGATGGAAGAGAGGAGAGGCAGCTCTGCTAAAGGACTTGAAGGCTTTCACGCCACAGGGACCCTTGTTGCTGTCGATCCTCCCAGCCCCGGGCCTCCCCGCAGCAAGCACCAGGACCTCGCTCTCCTCCTGTTCCGCACAGCACCCGTTCCCCGGGGCCACATGAACAGCACCCAGCTCGACGCTGCCACGGAAAAACGTCTAGCAAGGAAAGGACTTTCCCAGCCGGCACAGATGGCTCTCACGGGCAGCTTGAAGGAGCCACAGGCCCGCACGGTCCCAAATGTGACCACCTCTATGCAAAGACACGCCGGGGGCAGCAGCTACTCCCAGTGGCACTGGCCGTGTGGGATGTGGGTGCAGCAGACAAACAGAGCCAGGGTCCCCGGGAGACAGGAAAGGCTGGGCAGCCAGGTCCCACAGGCTCAGGCAGGGGGCTTGTCAAAAACACTTATTCCTCACAGTCCTGGAGGCAGAAGTCCAAGATCAAGGGACAGGCAGATTCAGTGTCTGGTAAGGCCACCTCCTGGTTCACAGACGGCTCTTCCGGTTGTATCTATGCATGGTCGAAGGGGCTGGCTTCCTCTCTGATGCCTCTCACATATGCGCACTTAATTCCATTCATGAGGGCACTGCCGCCATGACCTAAGCACCTCCCAGAGGCCCCACCTCCAAATATTCATCCCGTCACCTTGAGGGTGAGGACTTCAACATATGGGTTTCGGGGAATGTGAACATGCAACCCTTAAGCCTAAGGAAATCTGGACTTCAGGGCTGGGCACGGGGGCACACACCTGAATCCCAGCACGGCGGGAGGATCGCTTGAGCTCAGGAGTTTGAGACCAGCGTGGCCAACATGGTGAAACCCTGTCTTTACTAAAAATACAAAAATTAGCTGGGTGTGGTGGTGGGTGCCTGTAATCCCAGCTACTTGGGAGGCTGAGGCAGGGGAATCGCGTGAACCCGGGAGGCAGAGGCTGCAGTGAGCCGAGATCACACCACTGCACTCCAGCCTGGGCAACAAGAGCAAGACTCCGTGCAGAAAAAGAAGAAAAAAACGAAATCTGTACTTCAGGGCCGGACACAGGGAAATCCGGGAAATCCCAGCACTGTGGGGGCTGAGGTGGGAAGATCACTTGAGCCCAGGAGTTTGAGAACAGCCTGGGCAACACAGGGAAACCTGGTCTCTACAAAAAAAAAAGCAGATATGATGGCATGAGCCTGTCATTCCAGCTACTCAAGAGGCTGAGGTGGGAGGATTGCTTGGGCTAGGGAGGCCAAGGCTGCAGCGAACGACTGAGTGCACTGCGCTCCAGCCTGGGCAACACAGCAAGACCCTGTCTTTAAAAACCTAAAAGTTTTTAGGCTGGGCACGGTGGCTCACGCCTGTAATCCCAGCTCTTTGGGAGGCCGACACAGGCAGGTGACAAGATCAGGAGATCGAGACCATCCTGGCTAACACGGTGAAACCCCATCTCTACTAAAAATACAAAAAAATTAGCCAGGCGTGGTGGCGAGTGCCTGTAGTCCCAGCTACTCAGGAGGCCGAGGCAGGAGAATGGCGTGAGGCAGAGCTTGCAGTGAGCGGAGATC